>NW_003571061.2:609415-796479 GCF_000001405.40 Homo sapiens
AAGCTTTGCGGCAGTACAGCCCAGGTAATTTGCTGAGCTTGATCGGTGTCAGGGTCAGTCCAAGTGAAAGCGAAGAGAGGCTGGGATGAAGGGTGCAAAGGAATAGTAAAGAAAGCACGTTTGAGATCCAGAACAGAATAATGGGTTGTAGAGGCAGGTATTGAGGATAGGAGAGTATATGGGTTTGGCACTACGGGGTGGATAGGCAAAACAATTTGGTTGATAAGGCGCAGATCCTGAACTAATGTGTAAGCCTTGTCTGGTTTTAGGACAGGTAAAATGGGAGAATTGTAAGGGGAGTTTATAGGCTTTAAAAGGCCATGCTGTAGCAGGCTTTAATCCTTTTAAAGCGTGCTGCGGAATGGGATATTGGCGTTGAGTGGGGTAAGGGTGATTAGGTTTTAATGAGATGGTAAGGGGTGCATGATCGGTCACCAAGGAGGGAGTAGAGGTATCCTATACTTGTGGGTTAAGGTGGGGGGATGCAAGAGGAGGAAGCAAAGGAGGCTTTGGATTGGGAAGAATGGCAGCAATGAGATATAGCTGTAGTCCAGGAACAGTCAGGGAAGCAGATAATTTAGTTAAAGTGTCTCAGCCTAATAAGGGAACTGGGCAGGTGGGGATAACTGAAAAGGAGTGCTTGAAAGAGTATTGTCTAAGTTGGCACCAGAGTTGGGGAGTTTTAAGAGGTTTAGAAGCCTAGCTGTCAATACCTACAACAGTTATGGAGGCAAGGGAAACAGGCCCTTGAAAAGAAGGTAATGTGGAGTGGGTAGCCTCCATATTGATTAAGAAGGGGACGGGCTTACCTTCCACTGTGAGAGTTACCTAGACTGTGATGGTCCTGTAGGCTTCTGAGGCGATCGGGATCGGGCAGTGTCAGTCTTCAGCTGCTAAGCCGAGAAGATCTGGGAAGGAGTCAGAGAGCCTTGGGCCAGAGTTCTAGCTGCTCTGGGAGTGGCTGCCAGGTGAGTTGAACAGTCCGATTTTCAGTGGGGTCCCGCACAGATGGGATGCGGCTTAGGAGGAATCCCAGGCTGTGGACATTCCTTGGCCCAGTGGCCAGATTTCCAGTACTTGTAGCAAGCTCCTGGGGGAAGAGGTTCTGGAGGAACCCCTGGCAGCTGCGGTTCAGGCGTTTGGAGTTCTCGTGTGCTGGAGATGTGGCTGGGGTTTGTCTCATCTGGATACTGGAGTGGAGGCAAGGAATTGCAACTCAGAAATATGTTGCTATTTGGCTGCCTCTACTCTATTACTGTACACCTTGAAGGCGAGGTTAATTAAGTCTTGTTGTGGGGTTTGAGGGACAGAATTTAATTTTTGGAGCTTTATTTAATGTTGGGAGCAGATTTGGTAATAAAATGTATATTGAGAATAAGACGGCCTTTTGACTTAGGGTCTAGGGCTGTAAAGCGTCTCAGGGTTGCTGCCAAATGAGCCATGAACTGGGCTGTGTTTTTAAATTTGATGAAAAAGAGCCTAAACACTATCTGATTTGGGAGAGGTCAGATAAAGAAAAAGGAGCATTAACCTTGACTATGCCTTTAGCTTCAGCCACCTTTTTAAGAGGAAATTGCTGGGCAGTTGGGGGAGGGCTAGTCATGGAATGGAACTGTAAGCTGGACCGGGTGTGAGGAGGGGAGGTGATAAAAGGATTATAGGGTGGAGGAGCGGAGGCTGAGGAAGAATTGGGACCCAGCTCGGCCTGGCGAGGAGGGGAGATGTCAGATGGGTCTGTAGAAAAGGAAGATTAGAAAGACTCAGCGATGCTTGGGGTTGGGACTGACGGGACAGGCGGGAGGGAAAGAAGGAAGATTTGGGACGAGTTGCACTGGGCATAGAGACTAGGGAGGGACCGATGTGTAAAAGAATGCCTGGATGTCAGGCACCTCAGACCATTTGCCCATTTTACAACAAGAATTATTTAGATCTTGTAGGATGGAAAAATTGAAAGTGCCGTTTTCTGGCTATTTGGAACCACTGTCAAGTTTGTATTGGGGTCAAGCAGCATTGCAGAAGAAAATAAGGCATTTAGGTTTTAGGTCAGGTGTGAGTTGAAGAGGTTTTAGGTTTTTAAGAACACAGGCTAAGGGAGAAGAAGGAGGAATGGAGGGTGGAAGGTTGCCCATACTGAAGGAGGCAAGCACAGAGAAAAGAGAGAGTAGAGACATGGAGGGAAGGGGTTCAGGGGTTCTTACCTTCCAGAAAAGCGGGAAAGGGGTCAGGGCACAGAAGTAAGGGATTGGGGTGCAGAGACAAGAGGTCGGGGTGTGGAAATAAGGGATCGGGGTGCAGAGATAAGACGTCAGGGCACAGAAATAAGGGATCGGGGGATTCTTGCCCCCTAGAAAAGCGGTACTTGCCACTAAGGGTGAAGGAGAAGGGGTTGGGGGGTTCTTGCCCCCCCAGAAAAGCAGAGAAGGGGTAGAGACACAGAGAAGGAGTTGGGGGTTCTTGCCCCCCCAGAAAAGCAGTACTTGCCACTAAGGGTGAAGGACCAAGGCAGGCATCCCCATGTGGTCAGACACCTCTGAAACGTGGGTGAATAATCAGAGAGGTGTCCCTGCGTGATTAAACACCAAGGGAAGGCTGCCTTCCCGAGTCCATGACCGGCGCTGGAGTTTTGGGTCCACGAATAAAGCGCGTCTCCTGTCTCTACCAGAAAAGGAAAGGAACTGAAATTAAGAGAAGGGAGAGATTGAAGAGTGGAAAGGAGAAAGTGGTTGAGGGATAGTGAGAGAGGTTGGAGAAGAGAGTAAAAAGAGGCTGCTTACTGGATTTAAAATTGGTGAGATGTTCCTTGGGCTGGTTGGTCTGAGGACGAGAGGTCGTAGGTGGATCTTTCTCATGGAGCAAAGAGCAGGAGGACAGGGGATTGATCTCCTAAGGAAGATCCCCTGATTCGAGTTATGGCACCAAATTTCACTCACGTCCGTGTGAAGAGACCACCAAACAGGATTTGTGTGAGCAACAAGGCTGTTTATTTCACCTGGGTGCAGGCGGGCTGAGTCCAGAAAGAGAGTCAGCAAAGGGAGATAGGAGTGCGGCCGTTTTATAGGATTTGGGTAGGTAAAGGAAAATTACAGTCAAAAGGGGGTTGTTCTCTGGCGGGCAGGAGTGGGGTTCACAAGGTGCTCAGTAGGGGAGCTTTTGAGCCGGGATGAGCCAGGAGAAGGAATTTCATAAGATAATGTCATCACTTAAGGCAAGAACAGGCCATTTTCATTTCTTTCGTGGTGGAATGTCATCAGTTAAGGCAGGAACCGGCCATCTGGATGTGTACATACAGGCCACAGGGGGATATGATGGCTTAGCTTGGGCTCAGAGGCCTGACAGTCTGGATCACCTGACCTGGTGATCCGCACACCTCGGCCTCCCAAAGTGCTGGGATTACAGGCATGACCCACTGCACCTGGCCTTAGAAAACTTCTTAAATATTAAAATGTATGTTATGTGTATTTTGCCACAATTTTTGAAAAGTACCTTCTGGTGTTTAGAGACAGAAGATGAGTGGTTGCCTAGGGCCGGGAGAGTGAGGGGATCGTGGTGATGGGCAGCTGGTCGGCATGGGGTTCTGAAGGGCAGTGATGACAACATTCTAAAATTAGACTGTGTTGACGGTTGCACCAACTCCGTGAATACCACAAAATTTAAACCATTGAATTATGCACTTTTAATGGGTAATTGTATGGCATGTAAATTATATCTCAATAAAGTTATATTTTTAAATACCAAAAAAAGGCCGGGTGCGGTGGCTCACGCCTGTAATCCCAGCACTTTGGGAGGCCGAGAAGGGCGGATCACGAGGTCAGGAGATGGAGACCATCCTGGCTAACATGGTGAAACCCCATCTCTACTTTGAAAAAAAAAAAAAAAAAAAAAAGATTACCCGGACGTGGTGGTGGGCACCTGTAGTCCTAGCTACTCAGGAGGCTGAGGCAGGAGAATGGCATAAACTCGGGAGGCAGAGCTTGCAGTGAGTCGAGATTGCGCCACTCAGGAGGCTGAGGCAAGAGAATGGCATAAACCCCGGAGGCAGAGCTTGCAGCGAGCCGAGATTGCGCCACTGCACTCCAGCATGGGTGACAGAGCAAGAGTCCATCTCAAAAAAAAAAAAAAAAAGATTAGTAATATCCTCTGTGTCACTTACCACTTAAGTGATTGAATCACGACTTGAAATTCATCATCTCAAACATGGCTTAGAGTCTGTAGAGGGGGGACAGTCCCAGGAATGCTGGTGTGGGCTTAAGGCTGAATTAAATAGATCCAGATGGCTCACACCTGTAATCCCAATACCTTGGGAGGCCGAGGCAGGTGGGAGGCTGAGGCAGGCGGATCACTGGAGCTCCTGGAGCGAAGAAAGGATGCTAGTGGAAAAACTGGTGAAATCAGAATAAAGTCTATAGTTTTATTTTTTAAAGGAGGCTGGGCGTGGTGGCTCATGCCTCTAATCCCAGCACTTTGGGAGGCTGAGGCAGGTGGATCAGTTGAGTTCAGGAGTTCGAAACCAGCCTGGCCAACTTGACGAAACCCCATCTCTACTAGAAATACAAAAATTAGCTGGGCGTGGTTGTGGGTGCCTCTAATCCCAGCTACTCAGGAAGCTGAGGCAGGAGAATTGCTTGAACCCAGGAGGCGGAGGTTGCAGTGAGCTGAGATCACACCATTGCACTCCAGCCTGGGCTACAGAGCAAGATTCCATCTCCAAATAAGAGAGACATGACAATTAAATAAATTGTGTAATCTTGGATTAAATCCTAAACCAAATATATGTCACTGGTAAAACAAGTGGTGAAATTTGAATAAAGTGGATAGATCAGACAATAGTGTCATATCAGTGCTATTTCTTGACCTTGAACATTAATAACAGAATGTCCTTGGTTTTGGGAAATATAACCTGAAGTGATTAGAGGTTTAGGGCATCATATGCAAATTAGACACACTTTCTTCGGGGAGAGAGGGAGAGGGAGAGAGGCTGAATGATGAAGCAAATGTGGTAAAATGCTAACTTTGGGGAAATCTGGATGAAGAAATTACAGATTTTTTTTTTTTTTATAGACAGGGTAACACTCTGTCACCCAGGCTAGAGTGCAGTGGCACGATCATGGCTCACTGCAGCTTCTACCTCCCTGGGCTCAGATGACCCTCTCACCTCAGCCTCCCAAGTAGCTGGGACTATAGGCGCACAGCACCACACCTGGCTAATTTTTGCATTTTTTTTTCCCCCAGGCTCGTCTCAAGCAATCCACCCACCTCGGCCTCCCAAAGTGCTGGGATTACAGGTGTGAGCCACTGCACCTGGCCAGAAATTCTTTAAACTATTTTTGCAAGTCTGGAATTATGTCAAAATTAAAAGCTCAAAATAATAAAAGACAATATTCTTATATTTCTTTGGTGAAGGTAACTATGTTATGGCTGAGAGGGTGGCTGAGGTCTGAGGATCCAGCCTACATAAGTCTCCTCCATAGAGGGCATCCAAGCGCTCCGTAGGGGGAAGGATAAAGAAAACACCCAGAGTTATGACAGCTGTGTAAGGGGAAACGCCAGCACCGAGTACTGAATCTTCAGTAAATAAGAAGGAGGCGGGCTGGGTGTGGTGGCTCACGCCTGTAATCCCAGCACTTTGGGAGGCTAAAGTGGGCTGATCACTTGAGGTCAAGAGTTCGAGACTAGCCTGGCCAACATGGGGAAACCCTGTCTCTACTAAAAATACAAAAATTAGTCGAGTGTGGTGGCACACGCCTGTAATCCCAGCTACTTGGGAGGCTAGAACAGGAGAATTGCTTGAACCCAGGAGGTGAAGGTTGCAGTGAGCTGAGATTGCACCACTGCACCCCAGCTTGAGGGACAGAGTGAGATTCCGTCTTAAAGAGAAAAAAAAAAGAATTAGCACATTTGTTTGCCTCAAGAAGATACAACTAGTCTTGTACAGTAGTCACATGTATCCACCAGGATATATTCCAAGGCCCCAGTGGATGCTGAAAACTACATAGTACCTTACATGTATATATATATGTATATACATATATACACATATACGTATATGTATACATACATGTATATATGCATGTATGTATATACATATATGCATATATACATACATGTATATATACATGTATGTATATACATATATGTATATGTATGTATACACGCATACATGTATGTATACACGCATATATGTATGTATATACATATATGTATGTATACACGCATACATGTATGTATATACATATATGTATGTATACACGCATACATGTGTGTATACATATATATGCATGTATGCATGTGTGTATATATACATATATGTGTATATATACGCATATACATGTATGTGTATATATGCATGTGTATATATACATGTACGGTACTATGCAGTATATATACACATATATGTATATATGTATACATATATGTATAAATGTATATATGTGTATATATATAAAAGGTATATATGTATATATGTGTGTATATATAAAATGCATGAATTTCTTTTTTCTTACTGTAGATCTTAACAACTTCTGCATAGAATTTTTTTTTATTAAGTGGAGAGTTAGTTACTTACTTAAAAGAAATGTTTCTTGGCTGGGTGTGGTGGCTCACACCTGTAATCCCAGCACTTTGAGAGGCCGAGGCAGGAAGATTCACTTGAGGTGAGGAGTTGGAGACCATCCTGGCCAACGTGGTAAAAACCGGTCTCTACTAAAAGTACAAAAATGAGCTGGGCGTGGTGTTGGGTGTCTGTAGTCCCAGCTACTCAGGTGGCTGAGGCAGGAGAATTGCTTGAACCCACAAGGCAGAGGTTGCAGTGAGCTGAGATCACACCACTGCACCACAGCCTGGGCAACAGAGCAAGACTCTGTCTCAAAAAAAAAAAAAAAAGAAAGAAAAAGAAAAAGAAAAGAAATGTTTCTTTTCTTATTAAGTTCTTTAAATGAAAAGCTTTTCTTTTCACTTTTATTTTATTGAAACATTATAACACTATCTTTGAAGAAGTTAGTGTTATCATTCCATTCTGATGAAACCAATTAACTTATCCAAGCATATGTATACTGTACACAGAGAAGCCAACGTCAAAACCCCTATTTTTATCTTTTTAGATTCAGCAGATACATGTGCAGGTTTTTTATGAGTATATTGCATGATGCTGAGGCTTGCATTAATGATCTAGTCACCAAATAGGTAGATTTTCAAGCCTTGCTCCCCTCCTTACCCAATGTTTAGCGCTCTCACTTATAAGTGAGAACATGTGGTATTTGGTTTTCTTTTCTTTTTTTTTTTTTTTTTTGAGATGGAGTTTCACTCTTGTTGCCCAGGCTGGAGTACAATGGCACCATCTCGGCTCACTGCAACCTTCACCTTCCAGGTTCAAGCAATTCTCCTGCCTCAGCCTCCCGAGTAGTTGGGACTACAGGCATGTGCCACCACACCCGGCTAATTTTGAATTTTTAGTAGAGACAGGGTTTCTGCATGTTGGTCAGGCTGGTCTCGAACTCCCGACCTAAGGTGATCCACCTGCCTCAGCCTCCCAAAGTGCTGGGATGACAGGCGTGAGCCACCGTGTCTGGCCAGTATTTGGTTTTCTGTTTCTGTGTTAACTCGCTTAGGATAATGGCCTCTAGCTGCATCCATGTTGCTGCAAAGGACATAATCTTGTGATTTTTCAAGGCTGTATAGCGTTCTGTGGTGTATACATATCACATTGTCTTTATCCAGTCCACCTCTGATGGGACCTGGGTGGATTCCATGTCTTCACTATTGTGAATCCTGCTGCAATGAACATACAAGTGCATGTGTCTTTTTGGTAGAATGATTTATTTTCCTTTGGCTATATACCCAGCGATGGGATTGCTGGGCTGAATGGTAACTCTGTTTGTAGTTCTCTGAAATATCTCCAAACCAAACTGCTTTCCACAGTGGCTGAACTAATTTACACCCACCAACAGTGTATAAGTGTCCCCTTTGCTCCACAATCTCACCAGCATCTGTTAATTTCTGGCTTTTCAGTAATGGCCATTCTGACTGGTGTGAGATGGTATTGTTGAGGGATAATTTAGGAATCAGAGAGACCGAGGGGTTGAGGAGGATTTATTATTATTATTATTATTTAGGTGCACCGGCCCCAGTCAGATTAACATCCAAAAAGACTGAGGCTCGAACAGAGAGTCCGGTTACCTTTTAAGCATTTTGTGGGGTTGGGGGAGATCTGTGCAGGGGGAAGCATATTACAGAAGCAAGAAACAAAGGCAGTTATTCAATTGAGACATGCATCACATTATTCCTTACTTTTCAAGAAAAATATGTTTTACGACTTGAGGTTATCCTGTCTAGTGATCTTGCAGCCGCACGGCAAGAGAAACAGGGTCTTCACAATGCCTGGGAAAGGGAGAGATAAGGCTCACTAGCCACAGACAGAAAAACAGGCAGTTCATGTTTAAAGGACTCCACCTCTTTCTCTTCCTCGGGGGGAACTGGGTTTTCTTAAATACAACTGAGTTTTTGTTTACACATTCTGTAATTTCTTTTAATTCCTGTTCCAGTATCTCACTGTGAAACTCCCTATGTTTTTATACGATTCTCAGGGGGTTTCCTCTGGGCATGATTGGGCACAACTTCCCACAGTCAGCTCTGGGTACGACCTCCACATTGCAGAATTGAGAAGTTGACCCAGAAATGCATTTTGGGCTGAGCAGACAATTGTCAGAGTTGCTGGCTAGACCACAGATGTGTCAGAGGGACCACGGCCTTTCTGTAAGCTCATGGTCAGAGGCGGAGGGGAGTTGTGAACGTTCTGATGAAAGCAGTCAACGTGAAAGCGCTCTGGTGATGGGCGCTGGTGCTCACCCACCACTTCCTGTGTATCTATCTCCCTGGCCCGCCCGGCTCAGTCCCCACTGCTCAGCACTAGGCCGGCAGAATCTGAGCGATGTCTTCCACACTCCCTGCCCTGCTCTGCGTCGGTGAGTTCTGGCGTGGAAGGGGAATGGGATCACGGTGTGCCTGGGAGGCAACAGGTCTCATTACTCCCGTCTTCCAGGGCTGTGTCTGAGTCAGAGGATCAGCGCCCAGCAGCGTGAGTCCTTCCTTCAAAGCCCAGGGTCACTCTTCCGGGTTCAGGCCAAGCTCCTTCCACCCAAGCACGGCTGGGGAGAGGGGACAGGGTGCTGGCTTCCCAGGAGAGCTTGGGGCCAGCAGCTGGGTGGAGCCTAAGGTTGGGGGGAGGGGGCTCCGCTGGAACTCCAGCCTCTGATTCCCTTCCAGAGACTCTCCCAAAACCGTTCATCTGGGCCGAGCCCCATTTCATGGTTCCAAAGGAAAAGCAAGTGACCATCTGTTGCCAGGGAAATTATGGGGCTGTTGAATACCAGCTGCACTTTGAAGGAAGCCTTTTTGCCGTGGACAGACCAAAACCCCCTGAGCGGATTAACAAAGTCAAATTCTACATCCCGGACATGAACTCCCGCATGGCAGGGCAATACAGCTGCATCTATCGGGTTGGGGAGCTCTGGTCAGAGCCCAGCAACTTGCTGGATCTGGTGGTAACAGGTAACTGTCCGGTTCTCTAACTGGAGAGTGATCTCAGTCTGCATCCGGGATGCAGCATCATCTATGAACTCTTCCAAGCCCCACTCAGACACTGCTTGTCTCGGTAGGAGGCTGGAAGGAGGGGTGATCCCCATCACAATCCTTGCCTACAAGGGGTTGTCTGCAGACCGTGTCTCTACGTCCTAGGAGCAGATGTGTCCTCAGTCAGTTTCTCCATGACACAGATTCTGAGATAGATATTTGTATGCAGGGGTATGACTGAGGAATGTCCTCAAAAACAATGCCTGTGGGCTAGGCGCAGTGGCTTACACTTTGCTTCCCTCACCCATCACAGGTGGTGGGTTTTTTTTTTTTTTATCTGTTTTGAGACGGAGTTTCGCTCTTGTCACCCAGGCTGGAGTGCAGTGGTGCAATCTCCAGTCACTGCAACCTCCACCTCCTGGGTTCAAGTGATTCTCCAGCCTCAGCTTCCCAAGTAGCTGGGATCACAGGCACCCACCACTACGCCACATTTTGTATTTTTAGTAGAGATGGGGTTTCACCATGTTGGCCAGGGTGGTGTCGAACTCCTGACCTCAGATGATCCGCCCGCCTCACCCTCCCAAAGTGCTGGGATTACAGGTGTGAGCCATCACACCCAGCCAGGTGGTGGTTTTCTAAAAAAAAAAAAAAAAATTAGCTTTTTTTTTTTTTAACAATATGGTTGTTTATTATTATTATCAAGTATTATACATAGTTACATATACATACATAATTGTATGTGCTATACAATTAGGTTTGTTTATACCAGCAACACCAAAAACACATGAGCAATACTTTGTGCTAGGAAGGCTATGATGTCATCAGGCAATAGGAATTTTTCAGTTTCATTATAATCTTATGGGACCACCATCATATATGTGGTACATTGTTGGCCAAAATGTCATTATGCAGCTCACAACAGTATTTCATGTCCATTCAAATATCTTCTTTTGTGAAATGTCTATTTAAATCTTTTGCCTATTTTTAAATTGGGTTGCTTATATTTTGATTGATTAGGAAAAGTTATTTCTATATTCTGTGTCATATACTTGTGTTGAAATATATATATTTTTTGTCTGTGCCTTTTCATTTGCTCAGGGTCTTTGGACCTTGTTTGGAGGTTCTGGCAGGGGAACACAGCTACTCATTTATTCTTTTTTTTTTAATTTTTTTAGTATTTATTGATCATTCTTGGGTGTTTCTCGGAGAGGGGGATTTGGCAGGGTCATAGGACAATAGTGGAGAGAAGGTCAGCAGATAAACATGTGAACAAAGGTCTCTGGCTTTCCTAGGCAGAGGTCCCTGCGGCCTTCCGCAGTGTTTGTGTCCCTGGGTACTTGAGATTAGGGAGTGGTGATGACTCTTAAGGAGCATGCTGCCTTCAAGCATCTGTTTAACAAAGCACATCTTGCACCGCCCTTAATCCATTTAACCCTGAGTGGACATAGCACATGTTTCAGAGAGCACGGGGTTGGGGGTAAGGTCATAGATTAACAGCATCCCAAGGCAGAAGAATTTGTCTTAGTACAGAACAAAATGGAGTCTCCTATGTCTACTTCTTTCTACACAGACACAGTAACAATCTGATCTCTCTTTCTTTTCCCCACATTTCCCCTTTTTCTATTCGACAAAACCGCCATCGTCATCATGGCCCATTCTCAATGAGCTGTTGGGTACACCTCCCAGACGGGGTGGCGGCCGGGCAGAGGGGCTCCTCACTTCCCAGACGGGGCGGCCGGGCAGAGGCGCCCCCCCACCTCCCAGACGGGGCAGTGGCCGGGCGGGGGCTGCCCCCCAACCTCCCGGACGGGGCGGCTGGCCGGGGCTTTTTTTTTTTTTTTTTGAGACAGTCTCGCTGCAGTGCAGTGGTACAATCTCAGCTCACTGCAACCTCTGCCTCAGCCTCAATTCTCCTGCCTCAGCCTCCCAAGTAGTTGAGATTACAGGCATGTGCCACCACACCCGGCTAATTTTTGCATTTTTAGTAGAGACGGGGTTTCACCATGTTGACCAGGCTGGTCTCAAACTCCTGACCCAGGAGGTCGAGTCTTCAGTAAGCAAAGATAGTGCCACGGCGCTCCAGCCTGGGAAACAGAGCAAGACCCTGTATCATTTTTAAAAATGGTTTTAGACGGTAAATCTTCTATTGTGTGTATTTGACCAAAATAATAATTAAAAAAAAAAAAAAAGCTGGCTGCCAGGCATGGTGGCAGGCCCCTGTAGTCCCAGCTACTTGGGAGGGTGAGGCAGGAGAAACGCTTGAACCCGGGAGGCAGAGGTTGCAGTGAGCCAAGATCGTGTCACTGCACTCCAGCCTGGGCGACAGAGAGAGACTCCATCTCTAAAGAAAGAAAAAAAAAAATAGCTGGCTGCTCATCACTGAGTTTCTGGTGTGGTGGCCCCACCTTCTCTCATAGAAATGTATGACACACCCACCCTCTCGGTTCATCCTGGACCCGAAGTGATCTCGGGAGAGAAGGTGACCTTCTACTGCCGTCTAGACACTGCAACAAGCATGTTCTTACTGCTCAAGGAGGGAAGATCCAGCCACGTACAGCGCGGATACGGGAAGGTCCAGGCGGAGTTCCCCCTGGGCCCTGTGACCACAGCCCACCGAGGGACATACCGATGTTTTGGCTCCTATAACAACCATGCCTGGTCTTTCCCCAGTGAGCCAGTGAAGCTCCTGGTCACAGGTGAGGAAATGCTCAATTCCCCACACCCTTCGCCGCCATGTCCTACCTGGAGCCCTGAGGGATCCCCAGAGAGTGATGGGGAGGGTGTCCAAGGGACGTCCACTTCCTGGGTGCCTGGTTGGTCATGTGAGGAAGAACACCAGAAGCAGGAAGGAGGAGGGAGCAGAGAAAGGAATGGTAAGGCGGGTGGATCACAAGGTCAGGAGTTCGAGACCAGCCTGGCCAAGACGGTGAAACCCCGTCTCTACTAAAAATACAGAAATTAGCCAGACGCAGTGGCGGACACCTGTAGTCCCAGCTACTCAGGAGGCTGAGGCAGGAGAATCGCTTGAACCCGGGAGGCGGGGGTTGTAGTGAACCGAGATCATACCACCGCACTGCAACCTGGGCGACAGAGCAAGACTCCATCTCAAAAAAAAAAAAAAAAAAAAAAAGAATGGCAAGACCGGAGGAAACCAAAAACCCTTACTTTTTTTTCTTTATCTCCTTTTCCAGGCGACATTGAGAACACCAGCCTTGCACCTGAAGACCCCACCTTTCCTGGTGAGTAACTGGTCCTTCTAAGCTCAGACGAGCAATCAGAGCCTCCCAGTGACACTAAAAACGTGGCATTCATTCAAAATATTCATCGAGGCCAGGCGTGGTGGCTCACGCCTGTAATCCCAGCACTTTGGG
Organism: Homo sapiens; assembly: GCF_000001405.40. NCBI lineage: Eukaryota > Metazoa > Chordata > Mammalia > Primates > Hominidae > Homo > Homo sapiens. The sequence goes on from NW_003571061.2 coordinate 622,351, forward strand.
AGGCCGAGATGGTGCATCATTTGAGGTCAGGAGTTTGAGACCAGCCTGGCCAACATGGCGAAACCCTGTCTCTACTAAAAATACAAAACTTAGGCTGGGCATCATGGCTCACACCTGTAATCCCAACACTTCGGGAGGCCAAGGTGGTTGGATCACAAGGTCAGGAATTCGAGACCAGCCTGACCAACATGGTGAAACCCCATCTCTACTAAAAATACAAAAATTAGCCGGGCCTGGTGGTGCTCGCCTGTAATCCCAGCTACTCAGGAGGCTGAGGCAGGAGAATTGTTGAACCTGGGATGCAGAGGTTGCAGTGAGCTGAGATCGCGCCACTGCATTCCACTCCACTGCACGACACAGCGAGACTCCATCTCACAGAAAAACAAAAACAAAACTATTATATATATATATTCATCAAGTGCATAGTATACACAGTGAACTACACTGTAACAGTCAGCCAGGCAGATATCTTGACTCTGCAGCACTTAGATTCTAGCAGGAGGAGACACACCATCGGTCAACGTCAGGATAGCACACAGGAGGGAATGATGCTATGGAAGGAAAAGACAAAGTAGAACAGACTTACAGTGATTGAAATGGCAGCTAGCAATATTAAATAGGTTTGTCCAGATGGACCTCACAGAGAAAGAAGGCATCTGAGCAAATGCGTTCAGACTTGAGTTAATCATGTGGCTGTCAGGAGAAAGGAGGCTCTGGAGAGAATGAAATGGCATCTGCCTGTGCCCTGGGGCAGGAAGATAACTGGGGTAATACAATAATAACTATGAGGCCAGGAGGGTTGAAAATGATGTTTGGAAGATGACGGTGGGATGGGCCTGGGGCGCACGGCTAGGATTACAGGAGTGAGGCCCGGCGCGGTGGCTCACGCCTGTAATCCCAGCACTTTGGGAAACCGAGGCAGGTGGGTCATGAGGTCAGGAGATCAAGACCATCCTGGCTAACACGGTGAAACCCTGTCTCTACTAAAAAAAAATACAAAAATTATCCGGGCGTGGTGGCGGGCGCCTGTAGTCCCAGCTACACAAGAGGCTGAGGCAGGAGAATGGCGTGAACCCGGGAGACGGAGCTTGCAGTGAGCTGAGATCGCGCCACTGCACTCCAGCCTGAGCGACAGAGTGAGACTCCGTCTCAAAAAAAAAAAAAAAGAAAAAGAAAAAGAAAAAAAAATAGTGAGACTTTGAATTTCACTATGTGTGTATGTGTGAGGAGAAAGAGGTAATGATGACTTAATGAGGAAAATGAGGCTTAAATAGAAGACGGGCTGGGCCGGGTGGCTCCCGCATGTAATCCCAGCACTTTGGAAGGCAGGGGCGGCTGGATCACTTGAGGTCAGGAGTTCAAGACCAGCCTGGCCAACACAGTGAAACCCCATCTCTACTAAAAATACAAACATGAGTTGGGTGTGGTGGCGCACGCCAGTAATTACAGCTACTCGGGGCTGAAGCAAGAGGATTGCTTGAACTCGGGAGGCGGAGGTTGCAGTGAGCTGAGATCACACCACTGTACTCCAGCCTCAGAGGCCTGTCATCCCAGCCCTTTGGGAGGCCGAAGCAGGCAGGTCATCTGAGGTTGGGAGTTCAAGACCAGCCTGGCCAACATGGCAAAACCCCGTTTCTACTAAAAATATGAAAAAAATTACCTGGGTATGTGGTGTGTGCCTGTAGTCCCAGCTACTCCAGAGGCTGGAACACAGTGAGACTCTATCTCAAAAAAAAAAAAAATAGAAGACATGACTGGTGCAAAGACACATGCTCACAAGTGCTAGAATGGAATTCCTCGTCAGGTTCGTCCATCTGTGGACCCTTCCACTTTACCTGCTGGATGAAGCTCCTGGGACCCGCAGGGTGAGGTGGGACCTTGTAAAGCTGCAGAACGTCATGGGGTAGACCCAAGGGAAGGAGTGCTGGGGTGGAGGAGGTCAAAACCATCCTCTTTTCTTCACTTCCCTTATCATCAGCAGACACTTGGGGCACCTACCTTTTAACCACAGAGACGGGACTCCAGAAAGGTAAGTAGACAGCTGGGGCCATAGGCTCTGAAGGAAGGGGCTGGGCATAGAGTAGACCTAGGAAGGGAATCTAAATGGGAACAAGAGGGTGTCCTTGGCCAGGCGCAGTAGCTCACACCTGTAATCTCAGCCCTTTGGGAGGCCGAGGCGGGCAGATCATCTGAGGTCGGGAGTTCAAGACCAGTCTGGCCAACATGGCGAAATCCCATCTCTACTAAAAATACAAAAAAATTAGCCAGGCGTGGTGGCGTGTGCCTGTAGTCCCAGCTACTTGGGAGGCTGAGACAGGAGAATAGCTTGAACCCAGGAAGTGGAGGTTGCAGTGAGCCGAGATCGTGCCATTGCACTCCAGCCTGGGCGACAAGACTGAGGCTCTGTCTCAAAAAAAAAAAAAAAAAAAAAAAAAAAAAAAAAAAAAAAGAGGGTGTCCTTACATCCCTGTCAGCGATCACCCTGTTCTCCTGCCTACAGACCATGCCCTCTGGGATCACACTGCCCAGAATCTCCTTCGGATGGGCCTGGCCTTTCTAGTCCTGGTGGCTCTAGTGTGGTTCCTGGTTGAAGACTGGCTCAGCAGGAAGAGGACTAGAGAGCGAGCCAGCAGAGCTTCCACTTGGGAAGGCAGGAGAAGGCTGAACACACAGACTCTTTGAAGAATGACCATGAGACACAGTGGCCATGGGTGGATCTGAAAGCTGGTGTTGAGCCTGGGCGGCGTGAGCTCTGTGTTGGACCCACGGAGGAGGGAGTCACTGCAGGGAAAGAGGGACACTGGCATTCCATTTGTCAGAGCATCCCGGACGATGCAGAGGGTGGGAGAACTACATGCTAAATTTCTTTTTTTTTTTTTTTGAGACAGAGTTTTCTCTTGTTGCCCAGGCTGGAGTGCAATGGCGCGATCTTGGCTCACTGCAACCTCTAGCTCTCCATCCCTCGGGTTCAAGTGATTCTCCTGCCTCAGCCTCCTGAGTAGCTGGGATTACAGGCATGTGCCACCACCCCAGCTAATTTTGTATTTTTAGTGGAGACGGGGTTTCTCCCTGTTGGCTGGTCTCGAACTCCTGACCTCAAGTGATCTCCCCGCCTTGGCCTCCCAAAGGGCTGGGATTACAGGCATAAGCCGCTGCGCCCAGCCACTGAATTTCTTCTGTAGACAAATCCTATGGTCTCTTCTAGGCTCTAACTATTTTTGTACCACTTACTGCAAACCATACTTTTAACCACTCTGGTCTTTTCTGAAAAGATCTCTCCTTCTTTAACAGGATGGCCATGGAAATATTTTTTTCCTACTTTGGTCTTTTTTTCTTTCCTTTCTCTGCAGGAAGCCATTCAAAATAGTTAATAACCAATATAGAATAGGTCTGTATCAAATGGTTCAGGAGGCATTGTGGCAACAACCAGTTGTAGAGAAGCAGCTTTATAAGTGAATCCTGCCAGGCACGGTGGCTCACACCTGTAATCCCAACACTTTGGGAGGCTGAGGCGGGCAGATCACCTGAGGTCAGGAGTTCGAGACCAGCCTGGCCAACATGATGAAACCCCATCTCTACTAAAAATACAAAAACTCGGCCAGGCACGGTGGCTCATGCCTGTAATCCCAGCACTTTGGGAGGCCAAGGTGGGAGGATCACCTGAGGTCAGGAGTTCGAGAGCAGCCTGGCCAACATGGTGAAACCACATCTCTACTAAAAATATAAAAATTAGCCAGGTATGGTGGCGTGTGCTTGTAATCCCAGCTACTCAGGAGGCTGAGGCAGGAGAATAGCTTGAACCCGGGAGGCGGAGGCTGCAGGGAGCCAAGATCGCACCACTGCACTCCAGCCTACGTGACAGAGCAAGATTCTGTCTCAAAAAAAAAAAGAAAAAAAAAAAATAAGTGACTCCTGGCTGCATCCCAACCATACCCCAATTCCTTCTAACCACAGAATTATTCCATCTTCTCTTCCTTTTTTTTTTTTTTCTTTTTTTTTGTTTGTTTTGTTGGGACAGAATTTCACTTTTTTTTTTTTTAATGTAAGTTTTAGGGTACATGTGCACAACGTGCAGGTTAGTTACATATGTATACATGTGCCATGTTGGTGTGCTGCACCCACTAACTCGTCATTTAACATTAGGTATATCTCCTAATGCTATCCCTTCCCCCGAGTTTCACTTTTGTCACCCAGGCTGGAATGCAGTGGTGCAATCTTGGCTCACTGCCACCTCCACCTCCAGGGTTCAAATGATTCTCCTGCCTCAGCCTCCTGAATAGCTGGGATTATAGGCATGCACCACCACGCCCGGCTAATTTTTGTATTTTTAGTAGAAATGGGGTTTCACAATGTTGGCCAGACTGGTCTTGAACTCCTGACCTCAGGTGATCCACCAGCCTCGGCCTCCCAAAGTGCTGGAATTACAGGTGTGAGTCACCGTACCCGGCCACCATCTTTGCTTCTTTATCCACACCTTGCCTTGTTCTTCAGGGCTCTGCAGAGATATCATTTCCTCCAAGAGTTTCCACAACTCCGACTTCACAAAGATAGCACTTTTTTTTTTTTTTTTGAGACAGTCTCACTCTGTAGCCCAAGCTGGCGTGCAGTGGCACAATCTCAGCTCACTGCAACCTTCGCCTCTGGGGCTCAAGCGATTCTCCTTCCTCAGCCTCCCAAGTAGCTGGGACTAGAGGCGCGCGCCACCACACCCGGTTAATTTTTTTTGCATCTTTAGTAGAGGTAGGGTTTCATCATGTTGCCCTGGGTGGTCTCAAACTCCTGAGTTCAGGTGATCCCCCCGCCTTGGCCTCTCAAAGTGCTAGGATTACAGGCGTGAGCCACTGCGCCCAGCCAAGACAACACTTTCCTCATCCCAAAGCACCTGTTAATTCCCTGTAACAGCACTTGAACCCTGATTCGGCATGCATGTCCATTTTCCTGCCTCTACCGTGAACTCGTGTGAATTGATCTATGTCAGATTTAGTGGCTGCATTCACAGCTCCCGCAACTATAACGGGGTTCTCGGGAAATATATATCAAATGAGTGAATGTATATACGGGGCTGTGGCACAGCCTGCAACTTGAGACTTCTCACTAGGGGTCTTGAAATGCTGTCTGGACACCACCATCGCTTTCCTCCCTGAGAACTTCTACTTATCAACCCATTTATATACTCATCGCATGGGTCCTCACGCCCTCCCATTATTCTGGTGCCTCATGCCGGTCAAATTTATTCTCTAAATCTGATTTTTCCATTAAATAGCAGCCTGGCCAACACGGTAAAACCCCATCTCTACTAAAAAATACAAAATATTAGCCAGGCGCAGTGGCTTGCACCCGTAATCTCAGCTACTCGGGAGGCTGAGGCAGCAGAATCACTTGAACCCGGGAGGCAGAGGTTGTGGTAAGCCGAGATTGCACCACTGCACTCCAGCCTGGTAACAGAGCGAGACTCCCTCTCAAAATAAATAAACTGCTGACTCGCGTATTTTTTCTTTACCCCAACTCATTCCTTACATGTAGGCACCTGTAATCCTAGCTACTCAGAAGGCTGAGGCAGGAGAATCGCTTGAACCTGGGAGGCGGAGGTTGCGGTGAGCCAAAATCGTGCCACTGCACTCCAGCCTGGGCGACAGAGCGAGACTCCATCTCAAAAAAAAAAAAAAAAAAACCACATAGGCTCAGTCTTTTCAGTATCTGCTTTACTGGTTCAGTAAAAGCCAGGAAACACAACTTTGTGGTAATCTGAATGTTATTGAACTGTATTTTGTTCACTTTATTGTAAATACTAGTGAACAGTGAATAAATGGTTGTATATTCCTAATAAGAAAAAAAAAAAAAAAGACCCAAAGTACAGCGAGCTGATGCCGATCTCATTTCGCAGAGGTCCGCCTGCTCTCCCCTCTCCAAGAGTGTAATCCTATGCTTAATAAACTTATGCCGCTTTGCTATGTGTGTGTATCACACCCAATTCTTTGTTCGAAACACCAAGGGCCTGGAACTTCACAGCTTTGGCTGGTAACGGGGAGCAGGGGTAAAGACATTTAAAAGCTGCTTGTGTTAACCATAATCGCCATCCCATATATCAGACCCCCAGAACTAACTCATCTTATAACTGAATATTGTGCTTTTTTTTTTTTTTTTTTTTTGAGACGAAGTCCTGCTCTGTCACCCAGGCTGGAGTGCAGTGGCGCGATCTTGACTCTGCAACCTCCGCCTCCCGGGTTCAAGCGATTCTCCTGCCTCAGCCTCCCGAGTAGCTGGGACTACAAGTGCGTGCCACCACGCCCGGCTAATTTTTGTATTTTTAGTAGAGACGGGGTTTCTCCATGTTGGTCTCAAACTCCTGGTCTCAGGTGATCCACCCGCCTTGGCCTCCCAAAGTGCTGGGATTACAGACGTGAGCCACCACACCCAGCTACTTGTGCTTTTTGACCAACATCTTCCTCTCCTACCACCCCCAGCCCCTGATAACCTCCACCTACTCTCACTTCTAGGAGATCAACTGTTCTATTTTTTTTTTTTTTTTTTTTTTTTTGAGTCTCGCTCTGCACACCCAGGCTGGAGTGCAGTGCTGCAATCTCGGATCACTGCAACCTCCGCTTTCCGGGTTCAAGCGATTCTCCTGCCTCAGCCTCCAGAGTCGCTGGGATTACTGAGCCACCGCGCCCAGCCAGAAGACCCACGCTCCCTAAGACATAACCCACACTGGTGGCCTTTGTTCTGACTTCTCACCTGTGCTCCCCACCCGCTAGAAACTGGCTTCTCTCCCCACACTTCCTCTGAAGCTGTCTGTGTGACCAACACTAATGAGCTTCCTTCCTGGAACATGCAGTGACCCTTTTCAGCCCTTCTCATTATTGCTCCCCCACAGTTGTATTTGACACGTTGACCACTTCCTCCTCGAAGGACTCACTTCTCTGGCTTTCTCGGACACTTCTTGCTACTCGTTTTCTGACGGTTACAGTACCAACAGGTTTGCAGGCACCTCCACCACCAGAGCCAATCCCAGCTACTCGGGAGGCTGAGGCAGGAGAATCGTTCAAACCCGGGAGGCAGAGGTTGCAGTGAGTCGAGATTGCGCCACTGCACTCCAGCCTGAGTGACAGACTGTGACTCCTCAAAAAAAAACAAAAACAAAAACAAAAAAACTACAGTCTTGCTCTGTCGCCCAGGATGGAATGCAGTGGTGCCATCTTGGCTCACTGCAACCTCTGCCTGCTGGGGTCTAGCGATTCTCCTGCCTCAGCCCCCCAAGGAGCTGGGACTACAGGCATGTGCCGCCACGCCTGGCTAATTTTTGTATTTTTAGTGGAGATGGGGGTTTTACCATGTTAGCCAGGTTGGTCTTGAACTCCCGACCTCATGTGATCCGCCCACCTTGGCCTCCCAAAGTGCGAGGATTACAGGCCCCCGCACCCAGCCTAGGATCCTGCACCTCTCTAGCCTAGCAGTTCTCTGCTGGGTGATTTTGCTCTCCACTCCAGGGGACATTTGGCAATGCCCATGGTAATTTTTAATTGTCATGACTTGGGGAGGGGTTCTACTGGCATCTGGTAGGTAGGGTCCAGGGGTGCTGCTCAGCTTCCTACAATGCCCAGGGCAGCCCCAGATGGCAGCAGCACCAAGGCTGAGAAACACTGGCTCATGCAGAAAGCAACCACCTTACACCCTTCAGTGCAGGGACAAAGGCAGGGTTACGAGTCCACGGAAACTCTCCAGTCTCAGCCTACGTAAGACGTGGCTATTTTTCTTTCTTATTGTTTTTATTCATTTATTTTTCTTGAGACAGAGTCTTGCTCTGTCGCCCAGGCTGGACTGCAGTGGCGCGATCTCTGCTCACTGCAAGCTCCGCCTCCCGGGATCACACCATTCTCCTGGGACTACAGGCGCCCGCCACCTAGCCCGGCTAATTTTTTGTATTTTTAGTAGAGACGGGGTTTCACCATGTTAGCCAGGATGGTCTCGATCTGACCTCGTGATCCTCCCGCCTCGGCCTCTCAAAGTGCTGGGATTACAGGTGTAAGCCACCGCACCCGGCCTTATTCATTTATTTTTTGAGATAGAGTCTGAGCCCTTTATTTTATTTATTTAGAGACCAAGTCTCGCTCTGTTACCCAGGCTGGAGTGCAGTGTCGTGGCCTCAGCTCACTGCAACAACCTCCGCCTCCCGGGTTCAAGCGATTCTCCCACCTTGGCCTCCCAAAGTGCTGGCATTACAGACACCCACTACCATGCCTGGCTAATTTTTTGTACTTTTAGTAAGTAAAGACAGGGTTTCACCATCTTGGTCAGGATGGTCTCGAACTCCTGGCCTCAAGTGATCGGCCCGCCTGGGTCTCCCAAAGTGATGAGATTACAGGCGTGAGCGACCACACTGGCCTAATGTGTAGTTTTTTATCTGTGGCCTCCCTTCTGCCCTCCCCCTTCTGAGACTCTGAAGCCCATTACATCACTCTGCCTTTGTGTACCAACAGCTTAGCTCCCACTGAGAACATACAGAGCCAGGCACGGTGGCGGTGGCTCACGCCTGTAATCCCATCACTTTGGGGGTGCTGAGGCAGGTGTATCGCCTGAGGCCAGGAGTTCAAGACCAGTCTGGCCAACATGGTGAAACCCCATCTCTACTAAAAATAGAAAAATACATAGCTGGGTGTGGTGGCACGTGCCTATAATCCCAGCTACTAGGGAGGCTGAGGTTGGAGAATCGCTTGAACCCAGGAGGCGGAGGTTGCGGTGAGCCAAGATCACACCATTGCACTCTAGCCTGGGCAACAAGAGCAAAACTGTCTTAAAAAAAAAAAAAAAAAGTGAGAACATATGGATTCTACTCCTGTTAGAATAATGGCCTCCAGCTCCATCCAAATTGCTGGAAATGACATTATTTCATTCCTTCTAATGGCTGAATAGTATTCCATGGTACATAGACACCACGTTTTCTTTATCCACTGTAGGGACCAGCCCCACAGGGTCGGTGGGTCTCTCCCTGTGTGCGGCGACGAGAGAGTGTAGAAATAAAGACACAAGACAAAGAGACAAGAGAAAAGGCAGCTGGGCCCGGGGGACCACTACCACCAATGCGCGGAGACCGGTAGTGGCCCCGAATGTCTGGCTGCGCTGTTATTTATTGGATACAAGGCAGAAGGGGCAGGGTAAAGAGTGTGAGTCACCTCCAATGATAGGTAAGGTCACGTGGGTCACGTGTCCACTGGACAGGGGGCCCTTCCCTGCCTGGCAGCCGAGGCAGAGAGGGAGAGGAGACAGAGAGAAAGACAGCTTACGCCATTATTTCTGCATATCAGGGACTATTAGTACTTTCCCTAATTTACTACTGCTATCTAGAAGGCAGAGCCAGGTGTACAGGATGGAACATGAAGGCGGACTAGGAGCGTGACCACCGAAGCACAGCATCACAGGGAGACGGTTAGGCCTCCGGATAACTGCGGGCGAGCCTGACTGATGTCAGGCCCTCCACAAGAGGTGGAGGAGCAGAGTCTTCTCTAAACTCCCCCGGGGAAAGGGAGACCCCCCCCCCCACCCGCTGCCCCTTTCCCGGTCTGCTAAGTAGCGGGTGTTGTTAATTGACACCTTTTGCTACCGCTGGACCATGATCCGCTTGGTGACGGGTGTCTTCCCAGACGCTGGCGTCACCGCTAGACCAAGGAGCCCTCTGGTGGCCCTGTCCGGGCATAACAGAAGGCTCGCACTCTTGTCTTCTGGTCACACCTCACTATGTCCCCTCAGCTCCTATCTCTGTATGGCCTGGTTTTTCCTAGGCTATGATTATAGAGTGAGGATTATTATAATATTGGAATAAAAAGTAATTGCTACCGGCTAATGATTAATGATACTCATATATAATCATATCTAAGATCTATATCTGGTATAACAATTCTTGTTTTATATTTTATTATACTGGAACAGCTCGTGTCCTCTGTCTCTTGCCTCGGTGCCTGGGTGCCTTGCCGCCCACAATCCACTCATTATTCAATGGGCACTTCGGTTGGTTCCACATCTTTGCAATTGTGAATGGCTGAGCCAGCCATTCTTAACTGGGGGTGATTTTGTCCCCATGGGGGTATCTGGCCACATCCCGAGAGGTTTTTTGGTTGTCACGAGTTGCAGTGGGGGCAGGCTCAGGCTCATCCAAGTCCAGGGGTGCTGCTATACATCACGTGATACACAGGACAGTCCTTGCTACGGACTGAATTGGTCCCACCAAACGTCATGTACAAGCCCTACCCCAGATGTGACTCTATTTGGACACAGGGCTTTTCAGAGGTAATTAAGGCTGGTCAGGCGCCGTAATCACAGCACTTTAGGAGTTCTGTGTTTATTACTGGTAAGTGGGTAAGAGCCCAGTGTGGCAGCTCACGCGTGTAATCCCAGCACTTTGGGAAGCGAAGGCAAGGGGATAACTGGAGGCCAGCAGTTCAAGACAAGCCTGGTCAATACAGCAAGACTCCATCTCTATAAAATATTTTAAAATTAGCCAAGCATGTTTGGCATGCACCTGTAATCCCAGCTCAGGAGGCTCAGGTGGGAGGATTCCTTGAGTTTAAGGCTGCAGTGAGCTAAGATCGCACCATTGCACTCCAACCCGGCTGTGGGCAACACAGCACCACCACCATCTTGGCTGGGCACGGTGGCTCACGCCTGTCATGCCAGCACTTTGGGAGGCCGAGGCGGGTGGCTCACCTGAGGTCAGGAGTTTGAGACTAGCCTGGCCAACATGGTGAAATCACGCCACTGCACTCCAGCCTAGGCAACCAAGTGAGACTCTGTCCGCCCCACCACCCCACCAAAAAAAAGACTACTATCTTAAACAAAATCAAAATTTTTAAGTAGATAAAATATTTAGGGGAAAAAAACTTCAATTAAATATGCAGCAGAGTCCGACCCAGATGTTTTCACTCCCAGCCTCTACCTACTATCTTTGTGTCTTTATTTTTAGCAAATTCTACACGGGAACTTCATGTGCATGTAGAACCCTAAATGTTGACTCAGCCCTACCTCTCATCACCTGACCACTTCCTTTATTCACGCTGTCTCTACCACCCTTCCCATCGGTGTGAGCTGTATCCCGCTAAACACTGTTACCACCCACAGCCTGCATTACTACCAGCTGACTGTAGCCTTAAACACCACAGTGATCTCGAGCATTTGAGAAGACTTATCTTGACAAGGGCTCACGAAAGACAGCAATGCTCAACAGCAAGATAAATGAGGGCCTTCATGGGATCATTCAGTGCTGAAGCCACTCAACCTCCAGGTTTGGGTTAGTAAAAAGAACTTTGTCAGGCCAGGCACAGTGGCTCACGCCTGTCATCCCAGCACTTTGGGAGGCCAAGGCGGGCAGATCACCTGAGGTCAGGAGTTCAAGACCAGCCTGGCTAACATGGTGAAACCTCGTCTTTACTAAAAATACAAAAATTAGCCAGGCATGGTGACGCACACCTCTAGTCTCAGCTACTCCGGAGGCTGGGACAGAAGACTCACTTGAACCCAGGAGGCAGAGGTTGTAGTGAGCCAAGATCGCACCACTGCACTCCAGCCTGGGCGACAGAGGCAAGACTCCATCTCAAAAAAAAAAAAAAAAAAAAAAAGAAAAGAAAACTTTGTCATACAAGCTTTCAACCTAAAGCATTAGCCATATGCCCGTGTTTTTGTGCCTGGGACCATGACAACTTTCCCCATATCAATGCTCTTATTTTTTTTTTTTCGAGACAAGAGTTTTGCTCTTATTGCCCAGGCTGGAGTGCAGTGGCACAATCTCAGCTCACCGCAAACTCCGCCTCCCGGGTTCAAGCGATTCTCCTGCCTCAGCCTCCCGAGTAGCTGGGATTACAGGCATACACCACCCCACCCGGCTAATTTTGTATTTTTAGTAGAGACGGGGTTTCTCCATGTTGAGGCTGGTCTCGAACTCCTGACCTCAGGTGATCCGCCCGCCTCGGCCTCCCAAAGTGCTGGGATTACAGGTGTGAGCCACAGCGCCTGGCTGCTCTTATTAAAATAGTCTCATCACCTACCGCAAGCGTGGAGAGCCAAGTGAGGAGAGGGGTCAGTCCCTTTTGGCAGCGCCTGGAAGCCAGTGCTAACATCATGGTGACAACTTTTCATTCTTAAGGAAAATTGCGGAGTGACTTCTATGCATTTTCTATGAATGACCAAATACAGGGTGTGGAAAAGCTGTGTTTGCCATGGCAATGGGAAGCCGAGAGAAACGGGGAGGCGAGAGAGACAGAGACATACACAGAGACTCCCAGAGACAGCCACACAGACTCACACAGAAACAGACAGACAGGCTGGGCTCGGTGGCTCACGCCTGTAATCCCACCACTCTGGGAGGCTGAGGCGGGTAGATCACCTGAGGTCAGGAGTCCGAGAACAGCCTGGCCAACATTGTGAAACCCCGTCTCTAGTAAGAATACAAAAAATTAGCCAGGCATGGTGGCACAGGGCTGTAATTCCGGCTACTCGGAAGGCTGAGGCAGGAGAATCACTTGAACCTGGGAGGCGCGGTTGCAGTGAGCTGAGATCACGCCATTGCACTCCAGCATGGGCGACAAGAGTGAAACTCCGTCTCAAAAAAAAAAACAAAAAAAAAAAACGAAAGAACAGAGAGACACATACAAAGACAGAGATAGAAACGCCCAGCGACAGAGACACACACAGAGAAACACAGACAGACACAGAGACACACACACAGAAACAGACACAGAGACAGAGAGACAAAAAGACAGACACAGAGAAACAAAGAGAGACACACAGAGACAGAGAGAGAGAGAGACACATACACACACACACAGAGAGTAGGAGGCGGCCCGTGGGAGCCGAGCAGAACCAGCGTGAGGCAGGGCCATCTTCTGAATTAAAGGCAACAGTGACTGTAAGCTTGTGCTTTGTGAGTAACAGGATAGATTAGAACAGGGCTGGCTGCCCATGGCCCACGAGCTGTTTCTGGGAAGCCTCCGCAGGTGCCAGCCAGGCCCTGCGCTGCTTCCATGTCCAAAGGCACAGCTGAGAGCTGATGAGAGACCGCGGGGCCCACAGTGCCAAGCATATGAACTATCTGGCCCGTTTGTCAATGCGTGGGTTGATCACATAAGTTATGATCACATAAGTCACAAAGACACACTGATCACATAGATGCACCTGGCAGATAGTAGACCACATGGCGCCTGAGTTAGGGAAGAAAAGAAATAGAAGAATCAACCGAATCATCCCTGAACTTCTTAGCAATACTTCCTCCTAGACAAAGCACAGAGTACCATGTTTATTGCAGGTTTGCTCCTGAGCATGTCAATAAACGCAGCTGCAACGAGAGTGCTCTAACTTTATTATCCCTGTGAGAAAGTACATAGCGTCATGTGAAGGGGGTGCGTGACTCGTGCAGAATCTCCCAAAAATAGTGAGAAAACCAGTGTCAAATCCTACCTCTCGACAGACTCTAGTGTTAACATGTGACCCTCTGACCTGCATTCATAAGACATCTTAGAGACCCGAATCCCGCTTCCTGTGTAATTCGTAGAGCGATCCCAGGCTGCTCAGCAAAAAAAGTCACAGCACGGAGGTGCCGTTGCCCCGGAAGCATTGCAATCAATAGTCAGCTTGGGATTCTTTTCTTTCACTTCCTCCAACAGCTTCTTGATTTCCAAATTAGTTTCATAGGTCTTCAACCTGGAGGGATCAGAGAACACAAATGTTCCCAGAAATTCATTCTCAACTACCCAGGATGCCTGAATATCTGTTTTCAAACACTCAAAGCAGGAAACGTTTTTGGGATTTTCTGGGGGACAGGGTCTTGCTCTGTTGCCCAGGCTGGGGTACAGTGGTGCCATCTTGGCTCTCTGCAACCTCCAGCTCCCAAGTTCAAGCAATTCTCATGCCTCAGGCTCCTGAGTAACTGTGATTACAGGTGTGCACCACCACGCTTGGCTAAGTTTTGTATTTACAGTAGAGATGGGGTTTCGACATGTTAGCCAGGCTGGTCTCGAACTTCTGGCCTCAAGTGATCCATCCACCTCGGCCTCCCAAAGCCATGGGATTACAGATGTGAGCCACAGCACCCAGTCAGAAAAGTTTTCTAAAAAGAAATTTAGACCCACACAATGGGGATCCTTATAAGTCTAAGAAAAAAAAGATTATGGCCAGGCACGGTGTCTCGCACCTGTAGTCCCAGCACTTTGGGAGGCCAAGGCAGGCAGATTGCTTGAGCTCCGCAGTTCAAGGCCAGCCTGGGCAACACGGTGAAACCCTGTCTCTACCAAAAATAGAAAAAGTTAGCCAGGAATGGTGGTGCACGCCTATAGTCCCAGCTACTCGGGAGGCGGAGGCAAGAGGATCACTTGAGCCCAGGAGGCGGAGGTTGCAACGAGCTAGAGATTGCCCTACTGCACTCCAGCCTGGTAACAGAGTAAAACATGCCTTTAAAAAATAAATTTAAAAAATAGATAATCAGGCTGGTGCACGGTGACTCACGCCTATAATTCCAGCACTTTGGGAGGCCGAGGCGGGCAGATCACCTGAGGTCAGGAATTCGAGACCAGCCTGGCCAACATAGTGAAACCCCGTCTCTACTAAAAATACAAAAATTAGCTGGGCATGGTGGCAGACAACTGTAATACCAGCTACTCAGGAGGCTGAGACAGGAGAATCGCTTTGAACCTGGGAGGCAGATGTTGCAGTGAGCCAATACCGCACCACTGTACTGCAGCCCGGGTGACAGAGCGAGACTCTGCCTCCAAATAAATAAATAAAAAATAGTGGCAAATCAAACCTTCAGTAGAACTAAGAGAATGCCAGAGTGAACCCCAGGGTTAATGATAGCAAACTTGGCTCTAACGTGGCTGCAGCATGCAAGCCTGTGTATGTGAACATGAGGGGTGGTGATTGTGGAGACACTGGCTTGCTATGTTGCCCAGGCTGGTCTCAAACTCCTGGCCTCAAACAATCCTCCCACCTTGGCCTCCCAAAGGAGGAACTGAGGAATGAGAAAAGAAATACGCCCCAAACATATGACATAAGAGACCACAGGGGGCTAGAGATTTGTCACCAATAGTCCTTGGTGGCATTACAGACCTCGGTCCCACCAACAAGAGAAGCATGACACTATTTAGCTCAAGTTTCATGATATACCCCTAAAACCTTAACCCATTTATGCCAGAGGTTACAATTATTTGAACTGCAGACGTGTGAAAAATCGTACCTTGAGCAGGATATAAATAACTCCCACATGCTTAGCGTTCCAATAATGCAACACTGGGCATCATGAAGCAGTTTACATGCGTATCATCTCTACAACTAAAATAACTCTTGAATAAGACAAGTGGGCTGTGCACAGTGGCTCACGCCTGCAATCCGGGTACTTTGTGAGGCCAAGACAGGAGGATCGTTTGAAGCCAGGAGTTTGAGAACCTCGGCAACACGGCCACACAGTGCAGCAGAGCAAAACGTTGTCTCAGAAAAGAAAAGACAAAGGCAAGAAGAAACTAAAGGTAGATTACGTTAAAATAAGTCACTGAGGCCGGGCGCGGTGGCTCACGCCTGTAATCCCAGCACTTTGGGAGGCCGAGGTGGGCAGATCACCTGAGGTCAGGAATTCGAGACCAGCCTGGCCAACATAGTGAAACCCCATCTCTACTAAAAATACAAAAAATTAGCCGGGCGTGGTGGCGGGCGCCTGTAGTCCCAGCTGCTCGGGAGGCTGAGGCAGGAGAATGGCGTGAACCCGGGAGGTGGAGCTTGCAGTGAGCCGAGATCGCACCGCTTCACTCCAGCCTGGGCGACAGAGACTGGAGTCTCTGTCTCAAAAAAAAGACAGATTCAAAAAAAAAGACAGACTCCGTCTCAAAAAAAAGACTCCGTCTCAAAAAAAAATAAAAAATACAAATAAGTCATTGAAAAGATATACACGGGTCACAACTAAGGGAGCATCTGTAGGACGATCTTCTGAAAAGCTAAGACCCAGGACAGCTCTGGGAACTACCTATTTTTGGATATAATGATTAGGGGTGTGTGTGTGTGTGTGTGTGTGCTCATGCACACACATACACACAAGCTTCCAGTCTGTACTCCAGGATGATTTAAACTCTCAGTATGCCTAGGACTAAGTGTTTTGGGGGAAAGTTGGACAATATTCAATTCACAGAGCATTTTAGAAAAGTATCTAATTTTTAAATTATCTCCTAAGCTAGGAGTGTGCTATAGAAAGATGCCTTAAGTTGATCCCTACAAAGAGTACACACACTCCCAAAAAAACTCTTCTCTGCATGGGAAATTCACCATGTGAAACAGCCATCCCAGGGCCGAGCACAGTGGCTCACGCCTGTAATCCCGGCACTTTGAGAGGCTGAGGCAGGTGGATCACCTGAGGTTGGGAGTTTGAGACCAACCTGACCAACATGGTGAAACCCCATCTCTACTAAAAACTACAAAAATTGGCCAGGTGCAGTGGCTCATGCCTGTAATCCCAGCACTTTGGGAGGCCAAGGCGAGAAGATCACCTGAGGTCAGGAGCTCGAGACCAGCCTGGCCAACATGGCAAAACCCCATCTCTACTAAAAATACAAAAATTAGCTGGGTGTGGTGGCGAGCGACTGTAATCCTAGCTACTCAGGAGGCTGAGGCAGGAGAATCACTTGAACCCAGGAGGCAGAGGTTGCACTGAGCCGAGATAGCGCCACTGCACTCCAGCCTGGGGGACAGAGAGAGACTCTGTCTTTAAAAAAAAAAAAAAAAAAAAAAAATTAGCCAGCTGTGGTGGTGTGTACCTGTAATCCCAGCTACTCAGGAGGTTGAGGCAGGAAAATCGCTTCAACCTGTGAGAAGGAGGCTGCAGTGAGTCAAGATCGCGCCACTGCACTCCAGCCTGGGCAACAGTGAGACTCCATCCCAAAAAGCAAAAACCAAAAAGGCCGGGTGCAATGGCTCACCTCTGTAATCCCACCACTTTGGGAGGCCGAGGCAGGTGGCTCACCTGAGGTCAGGAGTTCAAGACTAGCCTGGCCAACATGGTGAAACCCCTCTCTACTAAAAAATTAGCCAGGCATGGTGGCAGGCATCTGTAATTCCAGCTACTTGGGAGGCCAAGGTGGGAGAATCGCTTGAACCCAGGAGGTGGGGGTTGCAGTGAGCCAAGATCGCACCACTGCACTCCAGCCTGGGCTACAAGAACAAAACTCCGTCTCAAAAAAAAAAAAAGAAAAAGAAAAAAATTAGCTGGACATGTTGGCATGCCTCTAGGCCCAGCTACTCATGAGGCTGAGGCAGGAGAATTGCTTGAACCTGAGAGGCAGAGGTTGCGGTGAGCCAAGATTGCGCCACTGCACTCCAGCCTGAATGACAGAGCACGACTCCATCTCAAAAAAACAAAAACAAAAAACAAAACAAAACAAAACAAAAAACCCATACCTGAGTATCTTCAAGGATCCAGTTCTTTGTCTTAGAACCCCAAAGAGCTTAATTATGCCACTCTTCCACAAATGATTCTGGCCCAGGTCCAGAGTTTCAAGCTTCTGATTGCTGAGGAGAGCAGATCCAAGATGCTGACAATAGAAAGGCATGAGGGAGCAGCTCCAGAGGCTGTTGAGGAAGAACATGGAAATCCACGCATTCACTGAGCAGGTAGTGGCTCAAGCGTGTAATCCCAACACTTCGGGAGGCCAAGGCGGGTGGATCACTTGAGGCCAGGTGTTCGAGACCAGCCTTGCCAACACGGTCAAACCCCATCTCTACTAAAAATACAAAGATTAGGCAGGGCGTGGGGACAGACACCTGTAGCCCCAGCACCTTGGGAGGCCGAGGAGGGTAGATCACCTGAGGTCAGGAGTTCGAGACCAGCCAGGCCAACATGGCAAAACCCCATCTCTACAAAAAATTAGCCATGCATGGTGGTGTGTGCCTTTAATGCTAGCTACTTGGGAGGCTGAGGCACAAGAATCGCTTCAGCCTGGGAGGCGGAGGTTACAGTGAGCCCAGATTGCGCCACTGCACTCCAGCCTGGGCAATAGAATGAGACTCCATCTCACAAATATATAACATAAAATGAAAATACAAAAATTAGCCAGGTATGGTGGAACCACCTATAATTCCAGCTACTCGAGAGGCAGGAGAATCGCCTGAACCAGGAGGCAGAGGTTGTAGTTAGCCAACATATCACCACTGCATTCCAGCTTGGGTGAAAGAGTGAGACTTGGTCTCAAACAAAACAAAACAAAAAAACAAGCAGCATATTTGCTGGGGCTCCAGTAGTGAGGAAAGGCAGAGGGGAGTGAGCAGAAGAAATCCTTGTCCTCAGAGTTTTTAGTGACAGCAGACATCTCGATATGTTCTATTGAAGACAATGGATGATGGTATTAAAATAAACAGGGTAGAGGTAAGTCAAACAGAGAGGCATTGATTGGCTAGACTTATGCTGGTCATTTAAGTCCTCTTTTGGAAAGTGATATGAGGAAAGAAACTGAAGGATGGTAGATCATGAACCAGCATGCTAACTGGGGGAGGGAATCTTGTAAATAAAATACTGAGCTAGTGAGAAAGTAGAATGATTTATGGCTCATAACTTACACGAGGATCCCCCATAAGGCCCTGTAGGCCACTGTAGAAGCCTTTGGTTTTGTTTTTTTTAAGGCAGAGTTTCACTCTTGTTGCCAAGGCTGGAGTGCAATGGCGTGATCTCGGCTCACTGCAACCTCCGCCTCCTGGGTTCAAGCGATTCTCCTGCCCCAGCCTCCCGAGAATCTAGGATTACAGTCATAGCTGAGATTACAGGAACAAGACACCAGGTAATCCACCCGTTTGCATTGAGCTTTTGAGTCTTTGGAAATAAAGGTATCACGGTCTGGCTTGAGGCTTGAAATATTCCTCAGGGGGATGGGTTAAGAAACTTCAGGAGGCCAGGAATGGTGGCTCATGCCTGTAATCCCAGCACTTTGGGAGGTTGAGGCAGGTGGATCACTTGAGGTCAGGAGTTTGAGACCAGTCTGGCTAACATGGTGAAACCTGGTCTCTACTAAAAATACAAAAATTAGCTGGGTATGGTGGTGCACGCCTGTAATCCCAACTACTCAGCTCAATCAGGAGAATCGCTTGAACCTTGGAGGCTGAGGTTGCAGTGAGCCAAGATCGCACCACTGCACTCCAGCCTGGGTGACAAAGCGAGACTCTGTCTGAAAAAAGAAAAAAAGTACCCTGTGTTCTAGTGTTTTTTTTCTTTACTCTACAGCAAAGCTAAGTAGTAATGACGTGCAGATTCTCTTTGCATTAGGATTGCAGATTCTAGTTGGAAAATAGGTTGCATCCAAGAGATGCAACTGACAAACTTTGGGGAGAGAAGTGATGAAGAGCTCGCCATTCCATTTGTGGAGACTTTGCATTTTCTGGGGGTGGTATCCCACCTATGGTTCCCTGGGTTTATGAGGTGGGGCAGGCTCACTGCTTCCTGATTACTGGATCCCAGCAGAAGCAGCATGCTGCTGAAGTCCAGGTCACTGGGGGCCATTGTTATATATATTTCACTTCTCCAGGCCCTCTACCTGACTTTAGAAGTGCCCACCCACATATATTCAGTTTCTGGAGGGGTTTGATCTTAAAACTGGATCCGAAGTGATACAGTCTGAGATATTGAAAACATAGAAATTGGCCGGGCGTGGTGGCTCACGCCTGTAATCCCAGCACTTTGGAAGGCCAAGGCGGGCAGATCATGAGGTCAGGAGATCGAGACCATCCTGGCTAACACTGTGAAACCCATCTCTACTAAAAATACAAAAAAAATTAGCCAGGCACGGTGGCGGGCATCTGTAGTCCCAGCTACTCAGGAGGCTGAGGCAGGAGAATAGCGAGAACCCGGGAGGAAGAGGTTGCAGTAAGCCGAGATCGCGCCACTGCACTCCAGCCTGGGCAACTAGAACGAGGCTCCGTCTCAAAAAAAAAAAAAAAAAAAGAAAACATAGAAATTAAGGATTTCCAGATTTCCAAACACTTTAAAAATGAGGCCAGGCATGATGGCTCATGCCTGTAATCCTAGCACATTGGGAGGCCGAGGTGGGAGGATTCCTTGAGCACCAGAATTCAAAACCAGCCCGGGAAAGATGACAAGACCTCATCTCTACAGAAAACAGTTACCTGGCCATGGTAATACATGCCTGTAGAGCCAGCTACTCAGGAGGCTGAGGTGGGAGAACCGATCAAGCCTGGAAGACCGAAGCCGCAGTGAGCCGTAATCACCCCACTGCACTCCAGGCTGGGGGACAGAGCAAGACCCTGTCTCAAAAAAAGAAAGAAAGAAGAAAAAGAAAATCGCCTACCGTAGGTGTTTTAGGTTACAGTTTGGATTCTCTAATGCCTGACAGAGAATCCACAATCCACGAGCTATCTGGTTGATACTCAAGTCCAGGTTTGTGAGGCTGCAGGCTTCTTGGAGCGCCTCTGAGAGATATCTACAGCCAAGCTTGGTTATGCTGCATTGCTGTAACCTACAGGATAATCAAAGGAAGAGAAGCCTGTTATCCCTCTGGCTAACGCCCTGTGAAGCAGTTATTTCCAACACTATATACCTTCCACTTATATACTGGAATGCAGTGCTGCACTCTTGGCTCACTGCAACCTCTGCCTCCCAGGTTCAAGCGATTCTTCTGCCTCAGCCTCCCAAGTAGCTGGGATTATAGGTGCCCGCCACCTATATAACCAGACTTGGTGGTGCACGCCTGTAGTGCCAGCTACTCAGAAGACTGAGGCAGGAGAATCGCTTGAATCCGGGAGGCAGAGGCTGCAGTGAGCTGAGATCGCGCCACTGCACTCCAGCCCGGGCGACAGAGCGAGACTCCGTCTCAAGAAAACAACAACAACAACAAAAAGTATTTATATAAAACATAGGTGGCAGGTAGGAATTGACCCATGAACTGGAGCTATATACTTCCAGGTGGGCTTGCACATAAAAGCATGCAAATGGGCCGGGCACAGTGGCTCACGCCTATAATCACAGCAGTGGGAGGCCAAGACGGGCAGATCATTTGAGGTCAGGAGTTCAAGACCAGCCTGGCCAACATGGTGAAACCCCATCTCTACTAAAAAATACAAAAATCGGGCCGGGCGCGGTGGCTCAAACCTGTAATCTCAGCACTTTGGGAGACCAAGGTGGGTGAATCACAAGATCAGGAGTTCAAGACCAGCCTGGCCAAAGTGGTGAAACCCCATCTTTACTAAATACAAAAATTAGCTGGGCACGATGGCTCACACCTGTAATCTCAGCACTTTGGGAGGCTGAGGCAGACAGATCACCTGAGGTCGGGAGTTCAAGACCAGCCTAAGCAATATGGAGAAACCCGTCTCTACTAAAAATACAAAATTAGCCAGGTGTGGTGGCACATGCCTGTAATCCCAGCTACTCAGGAGGCTGAGGCAGGAGAATCTCTTGAACTGGGGAGACGGAGGTTGTGGTGAGCAGAGATTGCACCATTGCACTCCAGCCTGGGCAAGAGCGAAACTCCATCTCAAAAAAAAAAAAAAATTAGCCAGGTGTGGCGGCCCATGCCTGTAATCCTAGCTACTCAGGAGGCTGAGGTAGGAGAATTACTTGAACCCAGGAAGCGGAGGTTGCAGTGAGCCAAGATCGCACCACTGCACTCCAGCCTGGTGACAGAGAGAGACTGTTAAAAAAAAAAAAAAAACATCCAAATGGCCTTCTGATTCCATCCATTTCCAGCTCTGCCTGGGACAACAGCTTAGGCTCTGGGTTCAGACCGACCCAGGACAGGATCTGAGCCCTGGGTCACTTATTTTCTGCGTGGTTAGATTATGGAAATTTCACTTTCCCTGTCATTTTATTTCATGTTTAAGTTTTGTCTTTAACTGACACATTCTACATATATAGGGGTATAGTGTGATGTTTTGGTGCAGGTACACTTCGTATAACGATCAGGTAGGTGACTGTTTGTTTAACAATAGTTATTCTAAGCCAGGCACAGTGGCTCATGCCTGGAACGCCAGCACTTTGGGAGGCCGAGGCAGGCAGATCACTTAAGGCCAGGAGTTCAAGACCAGCCTGGCCAACATGGTGAAACCTCATCTCCACTAAAAGTGCAAAAATTAGCCAGGCATGGTGGAGGGCACCTGTAATCCCAGCTACTTGGGAGGCTGAGGCAGGAGAATCGCTTGAACCTGGGAGGCAGAAGTTGCAGTCAGCCAAGATTACACCACTGCATTCCAGTCTGGGCGACAGAGTGAGACTTCATCCAAAAAAAAAAAAATGAATCTCAGAAATGACCACTAGCTAGAATTTCTGAACAGGAACAGGTCTTCAACCCTATGCAATCTCTTGAATATTTTTCTAACCATAATTTTAATGTGAACAGGTAGCTCACGCTGGGCTTCTTTCCATATAACAAGATTCAGCCAACTATAGTTCGTGGGTCAATTCCAACCTGCCACCTATGTCTTTTACAAATAAGGATTTTTGTTGAGTTTTTTTTTGTTTTTTTCTTGAGACGGAGTCTCACTCTGTCGCCCGGGCTGGAGTGCAGTGGCGCCATCTCAGCTCACTGCAGCCTCTGCCTCCCAGATTCAAGCGATTCTCCTACCTCAGCCTTCTGAGTAGCTGGTACTATAGGCACGCACCACCAAGCCTGGTTAATTTTTGTATTTTTTAGTAGCGATGGGTTTTCACCATGTTGGCCAGGCTGGTCTCGAACCTTAGGTGATCTGCCCACCATTCACCACCTGTTCCCCAATAACCTATGGAAATAAAAGTTTAAAAAAAGGTGCCACTGGCCCTACCACATAACTCAATCTACCTCCAATAGCAGGCAGTACTATGTCATAGGAATTTGAAAGAACACACACAAAGCATCAGATCCGAGAACCAACTACTCATCTCAAATCTTCCTTCATAGCAGGAAGAGGCTCTGCTGACATGCAAATATTAACATGTTTCTACCTGTATCTGCCTGGTTTTTTTTGTTTCTTTGTTTTTTTGAGAAGGAGTCTTGTTCTGTCGCCCAGGCTGGAGTGCAGTGGTGCGATCTCGGCTCACTGCAACCTCCGCCTTCCAGGTTCACGCCATTCTCCTGTCTCATCCTCCCAAGTAGCTGGGACTACAGGCATCCGCCACCACACCTGGCTAATTTTTGGTATTTTTAGTACAGACAGGGTTTCACCATGTTAACCAGGATGGTCTCCATCTCCTGACCTCATGATCCACCCGCCTCGGCCTCCCAAAGTGCTGGGATTACAGGCATGAGCCACCACGCCTGGCCTCTGCCTGTTCTTTAATTCTTACCAGGTTTTTAAAAGTTACATTTGAAATGAATTAACAAGTACTTTCATGTCTCTCCTGCTTGAATTCATGTGCACACACACACACACCCAGCAGGGACTTACACCAAGGTCTGCAGTTTACAATCAGGGTAACTCAAGCCCTCACACAGAAACTTCACCCCTGTATCCCCAATGGGGTTCTTGGCCAAGCACAGGTGTGTCAGCTTCTTGCTGACAACCAAGACAGCAGCAAGGTCCTTGCAACTGGCTTCTGTAAGACGACAGTTTTCCAACCTGCAAAAATATGAAACAAATGGTAGAAGGATGAGAACATTTCCACAACTCCAACCTGCTCAGTGATGTCCACATGCTAGGGTACTCAGCTTCAGCCCTTCCTGTTCATCCCCTGCCCTCTGTCCTGTGGGAGTCATCATGGCCACAAAAGAGCAGGAAGGCGAGAAGGCCAAGATGCAGCGGTCCACCTGGAGCCATCACAGGACACAGGTGTTGTTTTTGAGACGGAGTCTCGCTCTGTCGCCCAGGCTGGAGTGCAGTGGCGCGATCTCGGTTCACTGCCAATCGCCGCCTCCCAGGTTTACACCATTCTGCTGACTCAGCCTCCTGAGTAGCTGGGACTACAGGCGCCCACCACACCTGGATAATTTTTTGTATTTTTTAGTAGAGACGGGGTTTCACCATGTTAGCCAGGATGGTCTCGATCTCTTGACCTCGTGATCTCCCCGCCTTGGCCTCCCAACGTGCTGGGATTACAGGCATGAGCCACCGCACCCGGCCTGTTTTTGGTATTTTTAATAGAAACAGGGTTTCACCATGTTGGCCAGGTTGGTCTCGAACTCCTGAACTCAGATGATCCGCCCACCTCTCTGCTGAGATTACAGGCAGGAGCCACCGTGCCGGGCCTGAAGCAGGTGTTTATTTCAGCAAGAGGCGCCACGTGGGTGGCGCAGTAAGTCAGGTGTTACCCTTTCTCTTCTATAGCCCCAGAACTAAACCAGAGCTGCCCATGGGAAGAGGAGACTTACGACAACATCTGCAGGAAGTGTTTTGGGCGTGTCATGGTCTTGTACAGCAACATGGCACCCTCATCCAGGAGCACATTGGCTGAGAGACGCAGGTGCTTCAGGGACTGGTTGGCTTTGAGGACATAGAAGAATTCAGCCCACTGCTCCGGGGTGGCACAGTGACCTCCCAACCTGTGAAAAGAGTGGGAAAAGTCATTCTTCTGGGAGGACAGAGTATACCCTATCAGCTTTTTTTTTTTGAGACAGAGTTTCACTCTGTTGCCCAGTCTGGAATGCAAAGGCGTGATCTCACCTCACTGCAGCCTCCGCCTCCCGGGTTCAAGCTATTCTCCTGCCTCAGCCTCCGAAGTAGCTGGGATTACAGGCATTCGCCAATTTTTGTATTTTTAGTAGAGACGGGATTTCACCATGTTGGCCACACTGGTCTTGAACTCCTGACCTCAGGTGATCCACCCACCTTGGCCTACCGAAGTACTGGGATTACAGGTGTGAGCCACCGCGCCTGGCCCAGATCAGCTTCTTCTGCTTCACTTCCCAAGACATTATGTCTTTGGTTTATCTCATTCTACTCATGCCTCCAACCCTGGCCTGAATTACTGGAGAGATCTAATGTTGCCTCTGCTTCTTCAAGTATCCCCATGGCCATTAGGGTAACATCCAGCCACTTCTCCAAGAGATTGTAATACAATTCTGTGCAATGTTTCACCAAAACGGCCTGTGTGGATGATTTTGCAGGGGGGAAAAAAAAATTTTTTTTTTGAGACAGGATCTCGCTCTGTTGCCCAGGCTGGAGTGCAGTGGCATGATCACAGGTCACCACAACCTGTCTCCTGGGCTCAAATGATCCTCCCACCTCAGCATCCACTGTAGCTGGGACTAGAAGGGGCAAATTGATGCTTAATACTCAAAATAAAAATTTTATCCTGGCCAGGCGCAGTGGTTCATGCCTGTAATCCTAGCACTTTGGGAGGCCGAGACAGGCGGATCACTTGAGGTCAGGAGTTCGAGACCAGCCTGGCCAACATGGTGAAACCCTGTCTCTATTAAAAATACAAACATTTGCCAGGCGTGGTGGTGCACGCCTGTAACCCCAGCTACTCGGGAAGCTGAGGCAGAACTGCTTGAACCCAGGAGGCGGAGGTTGCAGTGAACGAGATCGCGCCACTGCGCTCCAGCCTGGGTGACAAGAATAAAACTGTCTCAAAGAAAAAAAAAAAAAAAAAAGATTCTCATTGAGTGCAGAGAAGGTTGCATGCTCCTTATGAATACCTAACTCCTGATGATCTGAGATTGATGATCCATTCTCCTCAGGCTCCCAAAGTGCGAGGATCATGCACTCCATAGGATCAGGCACCAACGATTAGCTCCTGTGCCTGATCTGAGATCGAACAGTTTCATCCCAAAACTACCCCCAAACCCGTCTGTGGAAAAAACTGTCTTGTGCAAAACCGGCCCGCGGTGCAGAAAAGGCTGGGGGCCACTGCTCTCAATCCCAACAATTAGGCAAGGTGCAGTCAGGAATAGCATGTCCCTAAAGCTGGAACCCAGCACAGAATTCGGGGTGTTTCTTTGCATGGATAGCTGGTTATGCAACACAGAAGACAAGCTGGTGGGGGAAAGAGGAGAGGCCGACTCCCCCACACAGGCCTGTTTGAGGAATACATTCCCTGTCTGGGACGGCATCTGGAGTGGTTACCCTTTTTCCTAGATCCCCCAGCAACACGGTGCAGTGGACTCCAGGTGCTGGGGAGAGCCGTGACCGTGAGACCCACCTCAGGTACTGCAGGTTGCATTTATGATTTCTGAGCAGGTCACACAGCATCAGCATCATCGTGCGTTCCCACTCGATGTGCCCTGCCAGGGTCAGGTGCGTGAGGGTCTTCTTCCCAATGAAAGCAAGACAGAAGTCCCGGTACGCGGTGTCAGGGGTGACGTTTTTAATCCTAGGGAAAAGCAGAAGAGATTCCACTTGGAGTGATTAATACTCACATTGTGTGGAGGCATGTATAAACAAAAAGCTGTTTCACATTTAGAAATTATTAGAAGTTCTTGGCCGGGTGCAGTGGCTCGTGTCTGTAACCCCAGCACTTTGGGAGGCTGAGGCAGGAGGATAACCTGAGGTCAGGAGTCTGAGACCAACCTGGGCAACATGGTGAAACTCCATCTCTACAAAAAATAAATTAGCTGGGGCCGAGGCAGGCAGATCGCCTGAGGTCAGGAGTTCGAGACCAGCCTGGCCAACATGGGGAAGCCCCGTCTCTACTAAAAATACAAAAATTAGCTGCACATGGAGGGGCATGCTTGTAGTCCCAGGTATTCGGGAGGCTGAGGTAGGAGAATCACTTGAATCCAGGAGGCAGAGGTTGCAGTGAGCCGAGACCGCACCACTGCACTCCAGCCTGGGCAACAGAGCAAGACTCCATCTCAAAAGAAAAAAAAATTCGCCGGGTGTGGTGGCTCACGCCTGTAATCCCAGCACTTTGGGAGGCCGAGGCCGAGGCGGGTGGATCACGAGGTCAGGAGATCAAGACCATCCTGGCTAACACGGTGAAACCCCGTCTTTACTAAAATTACAAAAAACTAGCCGGGCGTGGTGGCGGGCGCCTGTAGTCCCAGCTACTCGGGAGGCTGAGGCAGGAGAATGGCATGAACCCGGGAGGCAGGGCTTGCAGTGAGCCGAGATTGCTGCACTGCACTCCAGCCTGGGGAACATAGCGAGACTGTCTCAAAAAAAAAAAAAAAAGTCAAGAAGCAGAGGATCAGGAAAAACAACTAAGGGGTACTAGGCTTAATACTTGGGTGACAAAATAATCTGTACAACAAACTCCTATGACACACGGTTACCTGTGTAACTAACCTGTACTTGTACCTACTTTTTGGTTTGTTTTGGTAACAAAACAAACCAAAAAAAAGATAGCTGGGGCCAGGCATGGTGGCTCATGCCTGTAATCCCAGCACTTTCGAAGACCGAGGCAGGCGCATCACCTTAGGTCAGGAGTTCGAGACAAGCCTGGCCAAGATGGAGAAAATTCCACCTCTACTAAAAACACAAGATTAAGTCATTGCACTCCAGCGCCTAGGTGACAGAGTGAAACTCTGTCTCAGAAAAAATAAAAAATAAAAAAGGGGCCAGGTGCAGCGGCTCATGCCTATAATCCCAGCACTTTGGAAGGCCGAGGCAGGCAAATCACCTGAGGTCAGGAGCTCGAGATCAGCCTGGGCAACACGGTGAAAACCTGTCTGTGCTAAAAGTACAAAATTAGCCGGGCAAGGTGGCACATGCCTGTAATCCCAGCTACTCGGGAGGCTGAGGCAGGAGAATTGCTTGAACCTGGGAGGTGGAGGATGCAGTGAGCTGAGATCGCGCCATTGCACTCCAGCCTGGGCAACAAGAGTAAATCTCCGTCTCACCAAAAAAAAAAAAAAAAAAAAAGACAGCTGGAAAATCCCCAAATACATGGAGATGAAACAGCACATTTCCAAATTTAAAAAACAAAAGTACAAGAAGCTTAGTCATCGTTCAGGGTCTTCCTTGCAAGATGAGCTTCTACTTACTCCACTTTCTGCAGATGACAGGTGCTACGGGTTACGTGGTCACAAAGAATCCGCACAGAAGAGTCACTCAGGAAGCTTTGTTTCACTTCCAGAAACTTGAGGTTGCTGTTTGAGCTGAAGAGAGAGCAGAAATCTGTCCAGAGGCGAAGAGAGCGAAGATCCTGCCGAGCCCAGTTCGGAATGGTTAGGTAAGTGCACCTGCAGGAGAACACACGTTCATCTCTTAGGACTAGTACCTGCATGGTGAGATGGGCATCTGCAAACCACATTTCAATGGCAAAAACCACAATTACTTTTGCACCAACCTAAAACAGTGTCTATAGTAAACAATATTGCATCACATGCTTTGCTACCAGTATAGATCTTAAGTTTTACAAAAAAAATAAAATAATAGATAAGGCTGAGTGAGGTGGCTCATGCCTGTAATCCCAACACTTTGCTAGGCCAAAGTGGGAAGATCACTTGAGCCCAGGAGTTTAAGACCAACTTGGGCTAGAAACTGAGACCCCCATCTCTACAAAAAAATAAAATAATTAACCGGGCAAGGTGGTGCACGCCCATAGTCCCAGCTACTCGGGAGGCTGAGGCAGGAGAATCACTTGAACCCGGGAGGCGGAGGTTGCAGTGAGCCAAGATCGCGCCACTGCACTCCAGCCTGGGGGACAGAGCGAGACTCCGTCTCAAAAATAAAAAGCCCCAATTCCTAATTGCCAAGTCGTGTCTCCACGTTGAACATGAAGCTGGAAAGAAGTCCAGCCAGAGGGAAATTCTGACAGTAAGCGACAGGGCAAAGGAGACGCTGGCCTCTTCCTAGTGGAGCGTGGGATGGGAAAACAGTTCTTACCTTTCAAATTCAATGTCCAGTTCAAAATCCATGTAATTCTCCAGGAACACCCCCTTTGCTACCTGCAGTGAGAGTTTCTGCAAGTCTTGACAATGCTTCAGGCTGAAGGAACAATGCATCACTTCAGAAGTATTTGTCAGGTGAATAGAAATTTCCTTGAACGGGGCCACCACCACCTTCGCCAGCTCCTCCTCCTGAGACTCATACAGGCAGCCCAAGACCTCCTTCAGGTCGGTCACGGATAAGGGCTTATTTGCATGAAGATGTGCTTTGCATTGCAGCAATTCCTGTTTGATGTCCGGTGACATCCGGCAGCCAAAAGTGGCCTCCAACTCCTTGGCTCTCTTCTCGTTAGCGAGGCCGAATAAGAAGTGTCCTACTTGAATCAGGTCGGGGTTCTTGAGTCTTTCTTCTCCGGAAAGCAGCTTCTGTACGTCCCCGATGTCCCAGGCGTGGCCGTCCCTGTCCTCCCCCTCCTCCTTCTCCAGGGCGTAGAACAGGGCAGTGAGAAACTGCTGGAAGCTGAGGTGGATGAAGGAGTAGCAGCCTTTGGAGACTCTGTCCTGGCGGAGGATGTCTCCGTCCAGGAACAGACGGAGGTCGGACTCCTGCACCCCGAGCCTTTCCAGGTCCTCTCGGTGGAACACGGACATCTGCGCCCACAGGCCCTGCGCGGCCAGGAGGCTCAGCGTCCGCAGCGCGCCCCGCAGCTGTGCGCCCTGCGGGAACCGGCTGCAGAGGAAACGCAGGAACAGCCCCGTGCGGGTGAGGCAGGTGGGGACCGGGTCCTCCCCCTTCTCCATCTGCAGCTTCAGAGTCGTGCACACAATCCAGCACACCGCGGGGGCCGAGCCCAGCTGGAACAGGGCCGCGTTGCTCCTCATTAGCTCAAAGGCACGCATGGCTTGGTCCTCGTCTCCAAAGTGTCTCAGGAAATAGGCCCTCCTGTCCTCCTCCAGGAAGCCCTCCACCCTTACGTAGATCGGCTGCTGCGCCAGGAGCTGGAGGTCCCTCAGTGCCCTGGGCCGCGTGGTGACCAGCAAGGCTGCCCTGGGTAACATCTTCCTCTTCAGCAAACTCCCCAGGAGGACGGGCACCGGCTTCTTCTTCTCCCAGTCCCCGCAGATGTCCTGGATCAGCGCCCCAGGTGGGACTTTCAGCTCATCAAGGCCATCGACCACGAACAGGATTCTCTGTGCTTGGGCTAGGATGCTTGGAATGTCATCCTGCAATTCAGGCCAGTCTTTGGAGATCAGCTCTGCAAAACTGCAGGGGCCCATGCGGCTGAGCTCCTTGCAGCTGAGGTAGAACGCGTATCTGAGCGTCGGGCTGAGGTTGCAGTCTGTCCAGTCCAGCATACACTTTTTGGCCAGCGTGGTTTTCCCCACGCCTGCGGGGCCGTGCAGCACCACCGTGTAAGGTGTTAGCTTCCTGGGTGTTCTGGGATTCAAGAATGGAATGAACCGTTGGTTTCTCAGAGTGACGTCGTCATGGAAATTGTCAATGTCTCCTTGCCAAAAGGTGTTCTTCCAGACCAAAGACTGTTTCTCCATTGAATTTCTCCATCCTTCCTTTTCACCTGCAGTGACAGCCCATAGGACAGTTGAGGTTGATGATGATGATTTTCTGAATTATTTTGTCAAGTACCAGAAATGAGGGCCAGGCACGGTGTCTCATGCTTGTAATCCCGGCACTTTGGGAGGCCAAGGTGGGTGGATCACTTGAGGTCAGGAGTTCAAGACCAGCCTGGCCAAGATAGTGAAACCCCATCTCTACTAAAAATACAAAACATTAGCTGGGGGTAGTGGCGGCCGCCTGTAATCCCGGCTACTCAGGAGGCTGAGGCAGAGAATTGCTTGAACCCGGGAGGCAGAGGTTGCAATGAGCAGAGACGGAGCCACTACACTCCAGCCTGGGCTACAGAGCAAGATTCCGTCTCAAAAAAAAAAAAAACTACCAGAAATGAATAAAACCAGGAAGAAGTGATGCACCTTGCATGCTCTCAAACACCAAACTCATGACCATAGGACCGTATTTACCCACCTGGCTTTGCTAACTCCGAGTCTTCTTCTGCATCTCCCAGCTCAGGATTATCTATTTCTTGCACCTGTCCGTCCTCTGTAAAATACTTAGATG
Organism: Homo sapiens; assembly: GCF_000001405.40. Lineage (NCBI taxonomy): Eukaryota > Metazoa > Chordata > Mammalia > Primates > Hominidae > Homo > Homo sapiens. The sequence continues at coordinate 653,185 of NW_003571061.2, forward strand.
TAAGCCTGACACAGTAATTTACACTTCGTAAATCAGACATTATTGTACATAAAGTGTCAGCCAGGCATGGTGGCTCATGCCTGTAATCACAGCACTTTGGAAGGCTGAGGTGGGCGGATCACAAGGTCAGGAGATCAAGACCAGCCTGGCCAACATGGCAAAACCCCATCTCTACTAAAAATACAAAAAAAAAAAAATTAGCCAGGTGTGGTGAAACACGCCTGTAATCCCAGCTACTCCGGAGGCTGAGATAGGAGAATCACTTGAACCCAGAGGCGGAGGTTGCAGTGAGCCCAGATCTCGCCACTGCACTCCAGCCTTACACTCCAGCCTGGGCGACAGAACGAGACTCCATCTCAAAAAAAAAAAAAAAAAAAAAAAAATGACCAGGACACCCCAGGTTCTACTTACCCATCATCTCAGCCTTTGCCATCTTACACAATTCCGTGAGATTCATCTCTTCCAAGATGTTCACAGTCGCATTCCTTATCCAATTTTCTGAGGAGGTGTTGACCAGAATTTCTGCCAGTTTCTTGCCATCAGCCTCTTCCACCTCAGACCATGGGGTCTTCTGTAGCACGTCTTCGAGGGGAAAAGCCCATAAAAGGGATTTGAAACTCTTTAATTCATCCTCGTTCAGCTGCTCCAGAAGGGTCTGCAGAGTCCACTCTAGCTGGGGCGATGTCATAGTGCTCCGAGTATGAGACCTTAGGTTAAGGCTGAAGAACTGGGGGGAAAAAAGGAAAAACAGTTCACGAGTTACCATCATTAAATGAAACCACAGTTTCCTGTGTGCCAAGAACAAGACTGTTCCTGCTGTACAGTGAGTGGTAAAATATTCCAAAGACTGAATTAAGAGACTGAAAATCTGGCCCAGCACGGTGGCTCACGCCTGCGGCCAGGAGTTCGAGACCAGCCTGGCTAACTTGGTAAAAAGAACGAACAAAAGGCTGGGCACGGTGGCTCACGCCTGTAATCCCAGCACTTTGGGAGGCCGAGGCGGATGGATCACGATATCAGGAGATCGAGACCATCCTGGCTAACACAGTGAAACCCCTGCCTCTACTAAAAAAATACAAAAAATTAGCAGGGCGTGGTGGCGGGCACCTGTAGTCCCAGCTACTCGGGAGGCTGAGGCAGGAGAATGGTGTGAACCCGGGAAGTGGAGCTTGCAGTGAGCAGAGATCTCACCATTGCACTCCAGCCTGGGCGACAGAGCGAGACTCCGTCTCAAAAAAAAAAAAAAAAAAAAAAAAAAGAATACAAAGAATGAAGGGTCAGTGGTATGCTAGGGCCAGCCCGTGCTGCCTAATGGGGGCTTCCTATATGTACCTATACCAACGTCCATGGGCTGTGATTTCACACTGATAGTACAAAATCACAAGGGGAGTGTTTATGCCACAGAAATCAGCAAACACGGCAGGGCGCGGTGGCTCACGCCTGTAATCCCAGCACTTTGGGAGGCCAAGGCGGGTGGATAACCTGAGGTCGGGAGCTCAAGACCAGCCTGACCAACACGGCGAAACCCCATCTCTACTAAAAATACAGAAATTACAGGCGGGTGCCTGTAATCCCAGCTACTCAGGAGGCCGAGACAGGAGAATCACACTTGAACCTGGGAGGTGGAGGTTGCATGATCTGAGATCACGCCATTGCACTCGAGCCTCGGCAACAAGAACAAGACTCTGTCTCAAACAAACAAAAAAACAAATCAGCAAACACTACAAACCAAGACTTCCTCGCCACCAACCCTCAGAGCCACTTGTTTAACATTTCAGCCCACCACTGAATGACACATTGAAAACAAATAGCAAGAGGACAGATATAAATATAACTGTACTGGCCGGGTATGGTGGCTCAGGCCTGGAATCCCAGCACTTTGGGAGGCTGAGGCAGGTGGATCGCCTGATGTCAGGAGTTTGAGACCCGCCTGGCCCACATGGTGAAACCCCATCTCTACTAAAAATACAAAAGCTAGCCAAGTGTAGTGGTAGGAACCTGTAATCCCAGGTACGTGGGAGGCTGAGGCAGGAGAATCGCTTGAACCCAGGAGGCGGAGGTTGCAGTGAGCTGAGATAGCGCCATTGTACTCCAGCCTGGGCAACAAGAGCGAAACTCTATCTCAAAAAAAAAAAACTTAGCCAGGCCTGGTGGAACATACCCGTAGTCCCAGATACTTGGGAGGCTGACACAGGAGGATTGTTTGAGCCTACGATTTGGAGGTTGCAGTGAGCCAGCCACTGCACGCCAGCCTGGGTGACAGAGTGAGGCCCTGTCTCAAAAGTAAGTAACTAATGGCCGGGTGCGGTGGCTCACGCCTGTAATCCCAGCACTTTGGGAGGCCGAGGCAGGCGGATCACGAGGTCAGGAGATCGAGACCATCCTGGCTAACACGGTGAAACCCCGTCTCTACTAAAAATACAAACAATTAGCCGGGCGTGGTGGCGGGCGCCTGTAGTCCCAGCTACTCGGGAGGCTGAGGCAGGAGAATGGCGGGAACCCGGGAGGCGGAGCTTGCAGTGAGCGGAGATCGCGCCACCGCACTCCAGCCTGGGCGACAGAGCGAGACTCCGTCTGGGTTGGGGGGGCGGGGGGAAGAGGCAGCCTGGAAAATAAATAACAGAAAAAGTGACTTGCCAAGCCCGGGTGCTGATAGAGGTGGACAGCTTTACCCTTGGAGGGAACAGCAAATCTTTTTCCCCAGCTGTGACGTGTGGGGAAAAGGAGGACAGATCAGACTGTTACTGTGTCTATGTAGAAAGAAATAGACATAAGAGACTCCATTTTGTTCTGTACTAAGAAAAATTCTTCTGCCTTGAGATGCTGTTAACCTGTAACCCTAGCCCCAACCCTGTGCTCCCAGAAACATGTGCTGTGTCACACGTGGGTTTAGGGCTATGCAGGATGTGCTTTGTTAAACAGATGCTTGAAGGCAGCATGCTTGTTAAAAGTCATCACCACTCTCTAATCTCAAGCACCCAGGGACACAATACACTGCGGAAGGCTGCAGGGACCTCTGCCTAGAAAAGCCAGGTATTGTCCAAAGTTTCTCCCCATGTGATAGCCTGAGATAAGGCCTCGTGGGAAGGGAAAGACCAGACCGTACCCCAGCCCGACACCCGTAAAGGGTCTGTGCTGAAGAGGATTAGTATAAGAGGAAGGCCTTTTTGCAGTTAAGAGGAAGGTATCTGTCTCCTGCTCGTCCCTGGGCAATGGAATGTCTCGGTGTAAAACCCGATGGTATGTTCCATCCACCGAGATAGGGGAAAACCGCCTTAGGGCTGGAGGTGACACATGCTGGCAGCAATACTGCTCTTTAATGCACCAGATATGTTTATGTATGAGCACATCAAGGCACAGCACATTTCCTAACCTTGTTTATGACACAGACATTTGCTCACATGTTTTCCTGCTGACCCTCTCCCCACTGTTACCCTATTGTCCTGCCACATCCCCGTCTCCGAGATGGTAGAGATAATGACCAATAAATACTGAAGGAACTCAGAGACCCGGCCGGCGCGGGTCTCCTGAGCCCACTTTTCTTTCTGTGTACTTTGTCTCTGTGTCTCTTTCTTTTCTCAGTCTCTCGTCCCACCTGACAAGAAACACCCACAGGTGTGGAGGGGCAGGCCACCCCTTCAGTGAGGTATAATTACATATATCCTATTTTAGGATGGAGCAGGAAGAGCATGAGAGCCCAGGAGTTCCAGACCAGCCTGGGCGACACAAGGAGACCTTGTCTCTATTTTTTAAGTATTTTTAAAGTAATATATACAACGTTTACTTGTCAAAGTGTACAGCATGGAGCGATGTTATATATACAGTGAAATGATTACCACAATCCAGCTAATTAACATATCCACTGCTTCATATAGTTGCCTTTCGTTTTTGCAGTGACAACGCTTGATGTACTTAGAAAAATTCAGGGTTTTTTGGCCAGGCACGGTGGCTCACGCCTGTAATCCCAGCACTATGGGAGGCCGAGGCGGGCAGATCACAAGGTGAGGAGCTCAAGACCATCCTGGCTAACACGGTGAAACCCCGTCTCTACTAAAAATACAAAAAAAAAATTAGCCGGGCATGGTGGCGGGCGCCTGTAGTCCCAGCTACTTGGGAGGCTGAGGCAGGAGAATGGCTTGAACCTGGGAGGCGGAGCTTGCAGTGAGCCAAGATCGCGCCACTGCACTCCAGCCTGGGCGAGTGAGACTCCCTCTCAAAAAAAAAAAAAAAAAGAAAAGAAAAGAAAAATTCAGGGTTTTTTTTTTCTTTTTCAGAAAGTCTTGCTCTGTCGCCCAGGCTGGAGTGCAATGGTGCGAGGCTTACCACAACCTCCTCTTCCCGGGTTCAAGCGATTCTCCTGCCTCGGCCTCCCAAGTAGCTGGGATTACAGGTATGCCCCACCACACCTAATTTTTTTTGTATTTTTAGTACAAACGGGGTTTCACCATGTTGGCCAGGCTGGTCTTGAACTCCTGACCTCAGGTGATCTGCCCACCTCAGCCTCCCAAAGTGCTGGGATTACAGGTATGAGCCACCAGGCCTGGCCAAGTATTTTTTTTCCCAAGTACATTTTTTTCTTTTTTTCTTTTTTTTGAGATGGAGTCTCCCTCTGTTGCCCAGGCTGGAGTGCAGTGGCACAATCTCGACTCACTGCAACCTCCACCTCCCAGGTTCAAGTGATTCTAGTGCCTCAGCCTCTCAAGAAGCTGGGATTACAGGCGCACCGCATCACGCCGGGCTAGTTTTTGTATTTTTAGTAGAGACAGGGTTTCTTGTTTTTTTCTGAGATGGAGTCTTGCTCTGTCACCCAGGCTGGAGTGCAGTGGCGCGATCTGGGCTCACTGCAAGCTCCGCCTCCCAGGTTCACGCCATTCTCCTGCCTCAGCCTCCCAAGTAGCTGGGACTACAGGCGCCCGCCACTATGCCCAGCTAATTTTTTTTGTATTTTTAGTAGAGATGGGGTTTCACCGTGTTAGCCAGGATGGTCTCGATCTTCTGACCTCGTGATCCGCCCGCCTCGGCCTCCCATAGTGCTGGGATTACAGGCGTGAGCCACCGCGCCCGGCCGAGACAGGGTTTCTCTATGTTGGCCAGGCTGGCCTCGAACTCCTGACCTCAGCTGATCCACCCGCCTCGGCCTCCCAAAGTGCTGGGATCACAGGCGTGAGCCACCGCATCTGGCCATTTACATTTTTTTTTTTTTTTGATGCAGCATTTCACTCTGGTTGCCCAGGCTGGAGTGCAGTGGCGCAATCTCAGCTCACCGCAACCTCCGCCTCCCGGGTTCAAGTGATTCTCCTGCCTCAGCCTCCCGAGTAGCTGGGATTACAGGCATGTGCCACCACGCCCAGCTAATTTTGTATTTTTAGTAGAGATGGGGTTTCTCCATGTTGGTCAGGCTGGTCTCAAACTCCCGGCCTCAGGTGATCTGAAAGTGCTGGGATTACAGGCGTGAGCCACCGCGCCCAGCCTACTTTTTTTTTTTTTTAAACAGGGTCTTCATCTCATCCAGGCTGGAGTGCAGTGGCTCAATCACACCTCATTGCAGCCCCCACCTCCTGGCTCAGGTGATCCTCCCACCTCACCCCACAAGTAGCTTGGACACAGCACAAGGTCTGGCCTTCTTTGTTTTTTGAGACGGAGTCGCACTCTGTCTCCCAGGCTGGAGTGCAGTGGCGCGATCTCAGCTCATTGCAACCTCCCCCTCCTAGGTTTAAGCTATTCTCCTGCCTCAACCTTCCAAGTAACTGGGATTACAGGCATGCACCACCACACCTGGCTAATTTTTGTGTTTTTAGTAGAGACAGGGTTTCACCATTTTGGGCAGGCTGGTCTCAAACTTCTGGCCTCAAGTGATCCACCCGCCTCGGCCTCCCAAAGTGTTGGGATAACAGGCATGAACCACTGTGCCTGGCCTTATATTTTTTTGTAATGACAGAGTTTTACCATGTTGCCCAGGCTAGTCTCAATCTCCTGAACTCCTCTAAACTATATTTGAATAGAAGTCCTTAAGACATTAGGCCAGGCGTGGTGGCTCACACCTGGAATCCCAGCACTTTGGGAGGCCGAGGCAGACAGATTACCTAAAGTCAGGAGTTCAAGACCAGCCTGGCCAACATGGTGAGACCCCGTCTCTACTAAAAATACAAAAATTAGCTGGGCATGGTGGCACGTGCCTGTAGTCCCAGCTACTCAGGAGGCTGAGGCAGGAGAATGGCGGGTGAACCCAGGAGGCGGAGTTTGCAGCGAACCAAGATCACGCCACTGCACTCCAGCCTGGGCGACAGAGGGAGACTCCGTCTCAAAAAAAAAAAAATCAAAGATCCTTCCAGCATCCTCGCACCAACCATTAAGGCTTGGGAAGGGCTATGGTGGAAACTCAACCAATAGCTTCTTCTCCCTTAAACGAGAAGACAAAGAAATCGATGCAAGAACCAGCACTCACCTCCCTCAGGTCAGGTCTTGCTTCCAGCCTGTGTTTCCTGCAAAGGAAACGGATAAAAAGGGGAGGTCTCTGGCCCTTGGTACGCTAGGTGGAGAGACAGCTTTCCCGCCCAGGGTGGAACCGCCCCACTGAGATTAACATTGGGTGGCTCCCAACCACTGACCTCAGGCTCACCTTGACATCACCTGGGCCCCATCCTCAGGGATTTGGCTGTAATTGGGCTTCAGTGGGCTTTGGAGAATTACGGCTTGCTGAATCTCCCCAGGTGAGATTAATGTGCAATTCCCTTCCTAGACCACCCGGGCCAGGTGTGATAGGCGACAGAACAGGAAATACACATTTTGGGTTTTGCAGGGTACCTGGCTCCCAGCTTTAAAAACTCTTGTAGAGAAAAAAAATTAAACAAAAATAAATAAAAATTAAAAAAAAAGAGGACAAAAACTCCCGTGACTTCCTAAGTTACAAATACAATAAGTCTACTTTGTGGCCAACTGTGGTGCCTCCTGCCTATAAATCCCAGCAGGCTGAGAGGCCTAGGCCAGTGGATCCCTAGGGGCCAGGAGTTTGATACCAGCCTAGGCAACATAGCAAGATGCCATCTCTTCAAAAATATTTAATAATTAGCCATGCATAGGCTGGGCGTGGTAGCTCATGCCTGTAGTCCCAGCAATTTGGGAAGCCGAGGCGGGTGGATCACCTGAGGTCAGGAGTTGGAGACCAGACTGGCCAACGTGGTGAAACTCTGTCTCTACTAAACATACAAAAAATTAGCCAGGTGTGGTGGCAGGTGCCTGTAATCCCAGCTACTCGGGAGGCTGAGACAGGACAATCACTTGAACTAGGGAGGTGGAGGGTGAGTGAGGCACGATCACGCCATTGCACTCCAGCCTGGGTGACAAGAGCAAGACTGTCTCAAAAACAAAAACAAAAAAATTAGCCATACATGATGGGCTGCACCTGTAATCCCAGCTATTCAGGAGGCTGAGGTGGGAGGATCACCTGAGCTCAGGAGTTTGAGGCTGCAGTGAGCTGTGACTGGCCATCTCACTCCAGCCTAGGCCACAGAGTGAGACCCAGTCTCAAAAAAATAAATAGATAACTGATATTTAATTTTTTTTTTTGGATGGAGTCTTGCTCTGTGGCCCAGGCTGGAGTGCAGTGGTGCAATCTCCATTCTTGCAACCTCTGCCTTCCAGGTTCAAGCAATTCTGATGCCTCAGCTTCCCAAGTAGCTGGGACTGCAGGCACATGCCACCATGCCCAACTAATTTTTTGTATTTTTAGTAGAGACAGGGTTTCACCATATTGGTCAGGCTGGTCTCAAACTCCTGATGTCAGGTGATTACAGGCATGAGCCACCGCACCTGGCCTAAAATTGTTTTTAAATAAAACAGTGTATGTTGTGGAAAGCATTCAGCACAGAATTTTGGTAGTTTAAACTGTTAATTTAATGGAAGCAAATGGTCCCACAAATGAAGATGTATATATCAGTTGCAGCATGCCATCTATAGAAATAGGCACTATGGAGGCCTGGCATGGTGGCTCACACCTGTAATCCCTGCACTTTGGAAGGCTGAGGCAGGTGGATCATCTGAGGTCAGCAGTTCGAGACCAACCTGGGCAACATGGCAAAAAACCCCTGGCTACTAAAAATAAAGAATTAGCCAGGCATGGTGGTGTGCACCTGTAATCCCAGCTACTCAGGAGGCTGAGGCGTAAGAATTGATTGAACCTGGGAGTTGGAGGTTGCCGTGAGCCGAGATTGCACCACTGCGCTCCAGCCTGGGCGACAGAGACTCCATCTTTAAAAAAAAAAAAAAAAGATGGCCAGGCGCAGTGGTTCATGAATGTAATCCCAGCACTTTGGGAGGCTGAGGCGGGAGGACTGCCTGAGTCCAGGAGTTCAAGACCAGCCTGGGCAATATGGCGAGACTCCCTCTCTGAAGAAAAAGAAAATAAAAACAATAAAAATAAATTATATTCTAGCTGACAAAAAGAGAGAGAGAGTATATTTTGTTAAAACATTTGGCCTTTAGTCCTAGAGCAGCTATGGAGAGATAAACATGAAAGAGGTATCTCTTGTTATACATACCCAGGCCCTGCAACCACACCTGAGTTTATGTAAATGAGGTGACTTTTGGAAAGCCCCTAGATAACCCCACAAGTGCGAGGGACTGGCTGCCAAAGAAACCGTCAGTGATTAGACATTGGGAACTTTCAGCCCCAGGCTCCAAGTGGCCTCCAGGGAGGGGAGAGGGGCTGAAGGTTGAATTGATTATGAACTGCCAGCTATGTGATCAGCATTGCCCACCTAAGGAATCCTCCATAAACCCCAAAAGAAAAGGGTTTGGGCCGGGTGTCCTGTGGCTCATGCCCGTAATCCCAACGCTTTGGGAGGCCTAGATGGGAGGATTGCTTGAGCCCAAGAATTCTAGGCCAGTCTGGACAAAATAGCAAGACCCTGGCTCTACAAAAAATAAAAAATTAGCCAGGCGTGGTGGAGTGCACCTGTAGACCCAGCTACTCAGGAGGCTGAGGCATGAGAATCACTTGAACGCAGGAGACAGAGGCTGCAGTGAGCTGAGATAGCGCCACTGCACTCCAGCCTGGGTGACGGAGTTAGACTGTCTCAAAAAAAAAAAAAACCAGGAAAGAGTTCAGAAGAGCTTCCTGGTTGGTGAACCCGGGTGCATTCGTGTGCCAGGACTGTGGTGCACCCCAGGTCCACAGGGACAGAAGCTCCTGCACTTCGGACTCCTCTAAACCTCCCCCTACGCATCTCTTCCTTGGCTGTTCATTTGTATCCTTTAAAATATGAAAGGGCGGGTTGCCCCTCCACACCTGTGGGCATTTCTCGTTAGGTGGAAGGAGAGACTTGGAAAAGAAAGAGACACAGACAAAGTATAGAGAAAGAAATAAGGGGACCCAGGGGACCAGCATTCAGCATATGGAGGATCCCGCCAGCTTCTGAGTTCCCTTAGTATTTATTGATCATTTTGGGGTGTTTCTCAGAGAGGGGGATGTGGCAGGGTCATAGGATAATAGTGGAGGGAAGGTCAGCAGATAAACACGTTAACAAAGGTCTCTGCATCATAGACAAGGTAAAGAACTAAGTGCTGTGCTTTAGATATGCATACACATAAACATCTCAATGCCTTACGGAGCAGTATTGCTGCCCGCATGTCCCACCTCCAGCCCTAAGGCGGTTTTCCCCTATCTCAGTATATGGAATATACAATCGGGGTTTACACCCATACATTCCATTGCCCAGGGACGAGCAGGAGACAGATGCCTTCCTCTTGTCTCAACTGCAAAGAGGTGTTCCTTCCTCTTTTACTAATCCGCCTCAGCACAGACCCTTTACTGGTGTCGGGCTGAGGGACGGTCAGGTCTTTCCCTTCCCATGAGACCATATTTCAGGCTATCACATGGGGAGAAACCCTGGACAATACCTGGCTTTCCTAGGCAGAGGTCCCTGCGGCCTTCCGCAGTGTTTGTGTCCCTGGGTACTTGAGATTAGGGAGTGGTGATGACTCTTAAGGAGCATGCTGCCTTCAAGCATTTGTTTAACAAAGCACATCTTGCACAGCCCTTAATCCATTTAACCCTGAGTGGACACAGCACATGTTTCAGAGAGCACAGGGTTGGGGGTAAGGTCATAGATTAACAGCATCTCAAGGCAGAAGAATTTGTCTTAGTACAGAACAAAATGAAGTCTCCTGTGTCTACTTCTTTCTACACAGACACAGTTACAATCTGATCTCTCTTTCTTTTCCCCACAAAAATATCCTTTGTAGACCAGGCACAGTGGCTCAGGCCTGTAATCCCAGCACTTTGGGAGGCTGAGGCAGATGGATCACTTAAGGTCAGGAGTTTGAGACCAGCCCAGCCAGCATGGTGAAACTGCGTCTCTACAAAAATACAAAAATTAGCGGGGCATGGTAGTTCAACGCCTGTAATCCCAGCTACTCGAGAGGCTGAGGCAGAATTGTTTGAACCCGGGAGGCAGAGGCAGAGGTTGCAGTGAGCCGAGGTCGCACGACTGCACTCCAGCCTGGGTGCAACAGAGTGAGACTCCATCTCAAAAAACAAAAAACAAAAACAAAAACAAAACAAAAAATGAAAACCCACTTTTAGTAAAAAAAATAAAAATGAAAAAATGTGAATCAGGCTGCACTCTGGCCCACATCCTGGCTGCTGTGTATCACGTGGCTCTAGACACTGCACTTTTGCCTCCTCATCATTGCTGTAGATAGGATTTCTGACAGCAGGGTCATTAGACGAATTTTTTTTTTTTTTTGAGACGGAGTCTCGCTCTGTCGCCCAGGCTGGAGGGCAGTGGCGCAATCTCTGCTCACTGCAAGCTCCGCCTCCCGGGTTCACACAATTCTCCTGCCTCAGCCTCCCGAATAGCTGGGACTACAGGTGCCTGCAACCATGCCTGGCTAATTTTTTTTGTATTTTTAGTAGAGACGCGGTTTCACCATGTTAGCCAGGATGGTCTCGATCTCCTGACCTCGTGATCCTCCCGCCTAGGCCTCCCAAAGTGCTGGGATTACAGGCGTGAGCCACCGCGCCCGGCCCCATTAGACAAATTTGTATCTGCACGGTTCCTACAGATAAACTCTGGGACATTAGAATTATAAGGCTTTTGTTTAAGGATGGTTTCAGATGTTTTTCAGACCTTGAATTCCAGCCAAATAGCTGACACTAACCAGTTTGAAGACCCCAGTGAGGAATGGGATCAGCATGAGAACACTGCGTCTTCATGCCCCTGTCTCCGCCAGCAGTCAGCATGGCCACACTCTGGCCCACACCAAAACACTTAAAAACCCTAGCCCCGGCCGGGTGCAGAGGCTCACACCTGTAACTCCAGCACTTTGGGAGGCCAAGGCAGGTGAATCACCTGAGGTCAAGAGTTCAAGACCAGCCTGGCCAACATAGTGAAACCCCGTTTCTACTAAAAACACAAAAAATTAGTCGGGCGTGGTAGCGGGTGCCTGTAACCCCAGCTACTCAGGAGGCTGAGGCAAGAGAATTACTTGAACCTGGGAGGCGGAGGTTGCAGTGAGCAAAGATCCTGCCACTGCACTCCAGCCTGGGTGACAAAGCAAAACTCCATCTCAAAAAAAAAAAAAACCCTAGACCCAAACTTCTGGGGGAGATGGATTGGAGGTTTCCTCCCATCTCCTCATTCCTCAGCCCTGTGATTAAACTTCCTTCTCTTCTGCAACACAGTGACCCGGCAAATTGACTCACAGCGTGCATTGGGCAACGGACCTACTGTCAGAGGCGTGTAACCAGGGCAACTCCATCTTGAATAGGAGCTGACTAAAATAAGGCTGAGACCTACCGGGCTGCATTCCCAGACAGTTAAGGCATTCTCCAAAAAAAACAAAAATGACAGGCACGGTGGCCCAGCACTTTGGGAGGCCGAGGCGGGTGGATTACCCGAAGTAGAGTTTGAGACCAGCCTGGCCAACACGGTGAAACCCCGTCTCTACTGAAAATACAAAAATTAGTCAGGCGTGGTGGCTCGTGCCTGTAATCCCACCTACTTGCGAGGCTGAGGCAGGAGAATCGCTTGAGCCGGGGAGGCGGAGGTTGCAGTAAAAAGAAAAAAAAAAGCATTCTAAGTCACAGGATGAGATAAGTCAGCACAAGATACAGGTCATAAGGACCTTGCTGATAACACAGGTAGCAATGTAGCAGGACCAGCCACAGACAAAACTCCTCAGACACCGAGTTAAAGAAGAAAGGGGTTTATCCGGCCAGGGGCATCGGCAAGACTCCCGTCTCAAGAGCCGAGATCCCCAAGTGAGCAATTCCTGTCCCTTTTAAGGGCTCACAACTCTAAGGGGGTGTGCGTGAGAGGGTCGTGATCGACTGAGCAAGCAGGGGGTACGTGACTGGGGGCTGCATGCACTGGTAATCAGATCCAAACAAAACAGGATAGGGATTTTCACAGTGCTTTTCTATACAATGTCTGTAATCTATAGATAACCGATTAGGTCAGGGGTCAATCTTTAACTACCAGGCCCAGGGTGTGGCGCCGGGCTGTCTGCTTGTGGATTTCATTCCTGGGCCGCGGGGCTGTCTGCTTGTGGATTTCATTCCTGGGGCGCGGGGCTGTCTGCTTGTGGATTTCATTTCTGCCTTTTAGTTTTTACTTTTTCTTTCTTTGGAGGTGGAAATTGGGCATAAGACAATATGAGGGGTGGTCTCCTCCCTTAGCAATAAAGAATCCAGCCAGGCCGGGCGCGGTGGCTCACACCTGTAATCCCAGCACTTTCGGGGGCTGAGGCGGGTGGATCACACGGTCAGGAGATTGAGACCATCCTGGCTAACACGGTGAAACCATCTCTACTAAAAAAAAAAAATACAAAAAATTAGCTGGGCGTGGTGGCGGGCGCCTGTAGTCCCAGCTACTCGGGAGGCTGAGGCAGGAGAACGGCGTGAACCCGGGTGATGGAGCTTGCAGTGAGCGGAGATCGCGCCACTGCACTCCAGCCTGGGTGACAGAGCGAGACTCCGTCTCAAAAAAATAAAAAATAAATAAAAATAAATAAAGCATCCAGTCAAACTCCATCAAAACCAAGATAGTGACGAGAGTAACCTCTGGTTGTCCTCACCGCTCCACTCCCAGCAGCCCCATGACAGTTTACAAATGCCATGGCAATGTCAGGAAGTTACCCTATGCTGTCTAAAAAGGGGAGGCATGAATAATCCACCCCTTGTTTAGCATATCCATAGAAATAACCATAAAAATGGGCAACCGGCCGGGCGCGGTGGTCACGCCTGTAATCCCAGCACTTTGGGAGGCCGAGGCGGGTGGATCATGAGGTCAGGAGATTGAGACCATCCTGGCTAACACGGTGAAATCCCATCTCTACTAAAAAAAAATACAACTAATTAGCTGGGTGCGGTGGCGGGCGCCTGTAGTCCCAGCTACTCGGGAGGCTGAGGCAGGAGAATGGCCTGAACCCAGGAGGCGGAGCTTGCAGTGAGCCGAGATAGTGCCACTGCACTCTGGCCTGGTGAAAGAGCGAGACTCCGTCTCAAAAAAAAAAAAAAAAAAAAAAAAGGGCAACCGAGGCCGGACGTGGTGGCTTACGCCTGTAATCCCAACACTTTGGGAGGCCGAGGCGGGCATATCACCTGAGCTCAGGAGGTCAAGATCAGCCTGGCCAACATGGTGAAACCCCATCTCTTACTAAAAATACAAAAATTAGCCAGACGTGATGGCAGGCACCTGTAATCCCAGCTACTCAGGAGGCTGAGGCAGGAGAATCACTTGAACTGAAGTGATTCAAGGCAGAGGTTTCAGTGAGCCAAGATCACGCCACTGCACTCCAGCCTGGGCGACAAGAGCAAAACTCCATCTCAAAAAAAATAAGGGCAACTAGCAGCCCTATGGGCTGCTGTCTATGGAGTAGCTATTCTTTTACTCCTTCACTTTCCTAATAAGCTTGCTTCCACTTTACTCCATAGTCTCGCCCTGAATTCTTTCTGGTATGAGATTCAAGAACCCACCATGCCCAGCTCGTCCTTACTTGCTTTTAAAAAATATCATTGGTGGCCGGGCGCGGTGGCTCACGCCTGCAATCCCAGCACTTTGGGAGGCCAAGGCTGGCGGATCACCTGAGGTCCGAAGTTTGAGACCAGCCTGACCAACATGGAGAAACCCCGTCTCTACTAAAATACAAAAAAATTAGCTGGGTGTGGTGGTGCGTGCCTGTAATCCCAGCTACTCAGGAGGCTGAGGCAGGAGAATCACTTGAACCCGGGTGGCAGAGGTTGCAGTGAGCCAAGATCATGCCATTGCACTCCAGCCTGGGCAACAAGAGTGAAACTCCGTCTCAAAAATAAATAAATAAAATCATTGGAATAATTTTCTTCTTTAGGAAGAGCAGCCTTGGGCCAGGCATGGTGGCACATGCCTGGAATCCCCGAACTTTGGGCAGCCCAGGTAGGTGGATTGCTTGAGTTCAAGAGTTCCAGACCAGCCTGGACAACATGATGAAACCTCTTCTTGATCAAATATACAGAATTTCGACTGAGCACAGTGGCTGTAAGCCCAGCATGTTGGGAAGCTGAGGTGGGTGAATCATTTGAGGTCAGACCAGCCTGACTAACATGGCGAAACCCCATCTCTACAAAAAATACAAAAGTTAGCCAGGAGGTCGTGGGCGCCTGTGGTCCCAGCTACTCGGGAGGCTGAGGCAGGAGAATGACGTGAATCCCGGAGTCGTAGGTTGCAGTGAGCCAAGATCGTGCCACTGCACTTCAGCCTGGGCGACACAGCAAGACTGAGGTTGCAGTGAGCTGTGATCCTCAACCTCCTGGGTTCAAGGGATTGTCGAGCCTCAGCCTCCCAAGTAGCTGGGATTATAGACATTCGCTCCCATGCCTGGCTAATTTTTGTATTGCAAAAATGCACTCCAGCCTAGATGACAGGACTGCACTCCAGCCTGGATGACAGAGCAAGACTGTGTCTCAAAAATAAATAAATAAATAAATAAATAGCCAACTGTGATCGTGCATGCCTGTAGTCCCAGCTACTCAGGAGGCCAAGGCAGGAGGATCACTTGAGACTGGGAGGTCATGGCTACAGTGAGCCATGATCTCGCAACTGCACTCCAGCCTGGGCAACAGAGGGAGAGAAAGGAAGGAAGGAGGGAAGGAGGGAAGGAGGGAAGGGAAGGAGGGAAAGGAAGTCAGTCTTGTGGGACAAGGAAGGAAGGAAGGAAGTCAGTCAGTCTTGTGGGACTCAGCCCTGAACCTTTGGGATCTGATGCTGTCCCCAGGTAGGGAGTGTCAGAACTAAATCAAAGGAGAGGACACCCAGCTGGTCTCTGCTGGAGAACTGGTTGTTGGTGGGGAGAAACATACATTTTTGGTGAAGTATTCTGTGTTGAGTGTGAAAGTAGGAAAAACAGGACTGGGTATGGTGGTTCATGCCTGTCATTCCAGGATTTTGGGAGGCCAAGGCAGGCGGATCACTTGAGGTCAGGACTTTGAGACCACCCTGGTGAACATGGCAAAACCCCATCTCTACTAAAAAAAAATACAAAAATTAGCTGGGCGCGGTGGCAGGTGCCTGTAATACCAGCTACTCGGGAGGCTGAGGCAGGAGAATCACTTGAACCCGGGAGGCGGAGGTTGCAGTGAGCTGAGATTGTGCCTTTGCACTCCAGCCTGGGAGACAGAGCAAGACTCTCCCTCAAAAAAAAAAAAAGGCCGGGCGCAGTGGCTCACGCCTATAATATCAGCACTTTGGGAGGCCGAGGCAGGTGGATCACTGACACCCAACACCACGCCTTCTAATTTTTTGCATTTTTAGTAGAAACGGGGTTTCACCATGTTGGCCAGGCTTGTCTCGAACTCCTGTCCTCTGGTGATCCACCTGCCTTGGCCTCCCAAAGTGCTGGAATTACAGGCGTGAACCCAGCAACTTTTCCCCCTTTTATCATACCTTAATTTGCCTCCACCACCCCCAGAAGCTCCAAGTCTCTACGCCTTTTCATTTATGTATGTATGTATTTATTTATTTATTTATTTATTTTATTTTGAGACAGGGTCTCCCTCTATCTCCCAGGCTGCAGTGCAGTGGCGTGATCTTGGCCCACTGCAACCTCCACCTCCCGGGTTCAAGTAATCCTCCTGTCTCAGCCTCCCAAGTAGCTGGGATTACAGGGCACACCACCACACCTGGCTAATTTTTGTATTTTTAGTGGAGACTGGGTTTCACCCTGTTGTCCAGGCTAGTCTCAAACTCCCGACGTCAGGTGATCCACCCATTTCGGTTCCCAAAGTGTTGAGATTACAGACCGTGAGCCACTGGGACGGACACCCCTACTCCTTTCTTCTTCTTCTTCTTTTTTTTTTTTTTTTTGAGATGGAGTCTCCCTTTGAAGCCCAGGCTGGAGTACAATGGTGCGATCTTAGCTCACTGCAGTTTCCTCCTCCCGGGTTCAAGTGATTCTCCTGCCTCAGCCTCCGGAGTAGCTGGGATTACAGGCACACACCACCACACCAGCTAATTTTTGTATTTTTAGCAGAGATGGGGTTTCACCATGTTGGCCAGGCTGGTCTCAAACTCCTGACCTCAGGTGATCCACCCACCTTGGCCTCCCAAACTGCTGGGATCACAGGCGTGAGCCACTGCACCCTACACTCTTATACTCCTTTCTGTAGCTCAGGCAGCTAGATGAGCTTCAATCATCTGGCCCTTCCTCCAGTCTCACATTTTTGTGGGACTCCTGTGCATACATAATTGAATCTGGTTTTTCTTCTGTCAAACTGTTTTGTGTCAATGTAATTCATAGCCCATCCAAAGAACCTAGGAGGGTGGAGGGAATCCATTTTCTCTCCTCCACACTGGAGGGCCATGGAGCCCAAGAGTTCAAGACTGGCCCGGTGTACAAAGTGAGACCCAGTCTCTATTTAAAAAAGATGGGGAGGGGGCCGGGCACGGTGTCTCACGCCTGTAATTCCAGCACTTTGGGAGGCCCAGGTGGGTGGATCACCTGAGGTCAGGAGTCCGAGACTAGCCTGGCCAAGGTGGTGAGACCGTGTCTTTACTAAAAATACAAAATTAGCTTGGTATGGTGGCAGGAGCCTGTAATCCCAGCTACTTGGAAGGCTAGGGCAGGAGAATCGCTTGGTTTGGGATTTTCTCCCTGAGGCACTTGCTATCTCCAGGATTATGGGTCTCAGGTGAAAGAAAGACAAAGAAGGAGAGAGAGACAGAGAGGGACAGGGAAAGAGAATTTCAGACTTATCTAACATTGACACTTAGGAGAAGTAGGGAGAAAGAGGTGGGAAAATAAAGTGGCTAGGTAAAAATGAACATGTCAGTAACAATAATAGCATTAACAATAACTAGTATTGCCGGGTGCAGTGGCTCACGCCTCTAATCCCAGCACTTTGGGACGCCGAGGTGGGCGAATCACAAGGTCAGGAGTTCAAGACCAGCCTGGCCAACATGGTGAAACCCTGTCTCTACTAAAAATACAAAAAGTTAGCTAGCTGGGCATAGTGGTGCATGCCTGTAATCCCAGCTACTCTGGAGGCTGAGGCAGGAGAATCGCTTGAACCCGGGAGGCAAAGGTTGCAGTGAGTCAAGATCAGGCCACTGCACTCCAGCCCAAGGGACAGAGTGAGACTCTGTCTCAAATAATAATAATAATAATAACTAGTGGCCAGGCACAGTGGCTCACGCCTGTAATCCCAGTGTAGCAGGACGAGCCACAGACAAAAACCTCTCAGACACCGAGTTGTAGAAGGAAGGGCTTTATTCAGCTGGGAGCATCGGCAAGCTACTGTCTTAAAATCCAAGCTCCTCGAGTGCACAGTTTCTGTCCCTTTTAAGGGCTCACAACACTAAAGACTGCGCATGAAAGGGTCATGATTGAGCAATCTAGGGGATACATAACAGGGGTTTCGTGCACTGCTGGTCAGAGAGAAAGAATAGGGCAGGGAGTTTCACAGTGTTCTTCTATACAATGCCTGGAATCTATGGATAACATCGGGTTCTAAGTCATGAGTTGATTTTTATCTACTAGGTTTACGCCAGGCAGGCCCAGGCCTGGTTTCGGGTCTGGTTTTGGGTCTGGTGCCTGGCGCCGGGCTACCTGCCTTTGGTTTCACTTCCTTGTTTTTTTCTTTTTCTTTTTTTTTTTTTTTGAGACAGAGTCTTGCTCTGTCGCTAAGGCTGGAGTGCAGTGGCACAATCTCGGCTCACTGCAAGCTCCGCCTCCTGGATTCAAGCAATTCTGCTGCCTCATCCTTCCGAGTAGCTGGGATTACAGGCGCACGCCACCATGCCCGGCTAATTTTTGTATTTTTAATAGAGACGGGGTTTCACCATGTTGGCCAGGCTGGTCTCAAACTCCTGACCTTGTGATCCACCCGCCTTGGCCTCCCAAAGTGCTGGGATTACAGGCGTGAGCCACCGTGCCCGGCCTCCTTGTTTTTTTTCTAAAACAAGTACTGAGTATAAAACAATATAAAACAATATGAGACGGTTTCTCTCTTCCCTCACCAGCACTTTGGGAGGCTGAGGCAGGTGGATCACAAGGTCAGAGTGGATAGCACTTTAGGAGGTTGAGGTGGGAGGATCCCTTGAGCCCAGGAGCTCAAGTCCAGCCTGGGCAACATAGCAAGACCCCCATTTCCAATTTTAGTGTATGTGCTGCCAAAGCAAATACTCTGAGACCCTGTTTCTACAAAAAATAAAAAAATTAAAATTAGTGCTTGGAAAAAAAAATTAGTGCTTGACCAGGAGGCAAGCACACCTCCTCATCCTCTCATGGATGTCTGTCTGTAGAAAGTAAATGGAGACAGCTTCATTTTACCCAACTGCTCCGTTTTAGGTCCGCTCCTGAGCTTCTGTTGTTCCCAGCCATGCAACCCTGGGAGCCGACTCCCGGCTGCAGAGCCTTGTCAGAAGCAGGCAATGTACACAGAGACCCAAGGCCTGGTGTAGACAGGCTTTCACAGACCTGGGCATTTTGTTGAATTGTTTTTGAATTGTGGTTTCTTATCAGTTCATCCGATACTCTGTTCTAACCACGTAGTTCCTCTTTTGGATCTCCAAACCCCTTTGCAGGTTCCATCTACCCGAACCAAACTCACTTATTCCAACAGAAGTCTGGTGTTTCTTGTTTTTTTTGTTTGTTTGTTTCTTTCGTTTTGTTTTTTGAGATGTTGTCTCCCTCTATCACCCAGGCTGGAGTGCAGTGGCGAGATCTCAGCTCACTGCAACCTCTGCTTCCCGGGTTCAAGCAATTCTCCTCCCTCAGCCTCCTGGGTAGCTGGGATTACAGGTGCCTGCCGCCACACCCAGCTAACTTTTGTATTTTTAGTAGAGACGGGATTTCACCATGTTGGCCAGGCTAGTCTCGAGCTCCTGACCTCAAGTGATCCACCCATCTCAGCCTCCCAAAGTGCTGGGATTACAGCCTTAAGCCACCGCGCTCAACCAGAAGTCTGTTTAAATCCATCCTTCTCCCCAGCCACCCATGAGTTATGTGACCTTGGGGTTGCTACTTAACATTTCAGTCTCAATTTCCTCAATAGAACAAAAGTTAGAAGAATTGTAACAAAAGATAGTTTTATTTTTATTTTTATTTTTATTTTTTGAGATGGAGTCTTGCTCTGTCACCTAGGCTGGAGTGCAGTGGTGTGATGGTGGCTCACTGCAAGCTCCGCCTCCCGGATTCACGCCATTCTCCTGCCTCAGCCTCCCAAGTAGCTGGGACTACAGGCACCCGCCACCGTGCCCAGCTAATTTTTTTAATTTTTAGTAGAGACGGGGTTTCACCGTGTTAGCCAGGATGGTCTCGATCTCCTGACCTCGTGATCCGCTTGCCTCGGCCTCCCAAAGTGCTGGGATTACAGGCGTGAGCCACCATGCCCAGCACAAAAGATAATTTCTTAATCCCATGCATTTGAGTCTTAAAAAAATATTCTATATAATTCCAAGGTCAAAGAAGAAATAACAAAGGGCATTTTTAAAAATGCTAGAACTGAGTGGTGGTGAAATTGCTGTTGAAATGTGTTTGTTGCACTGATGGAAATTTATAAATGTAAATATTTATATTAAAATATAAAATAATGGGCCAGGCATAGTGGCTCACACCTGTAATCTCAGTACTTTGGGAGGCCAAGGCGGGAGGGCCATGGAGCCCAGGAGTTCAAGACCGGCCCGGTGTACAAAGTGAGACCCAGTCTCTAGTTAAAAAAGAGGGGGAGTGGGCCAGGCACAGTGTCTCACGCCTGTAATTCCAGCACTTTGGGAGGCCAAAGCAGGTGGATCACCCGAGGTCAGGAGTCCAAGACCAGCCCGGCCAAGGTGGTGAAACCCCGTGTCTACTAAAAATACAAAATTAGCTTGGTATGGTGGCGGGAGCCTATAATCCCAGCTAGGGCAGGAGAATCACTTGAACCCGGGAGGCAGAGGTTGCAGTGAGCCAAGATCATGCCACTGCACTCCAGCCTGGGCAACAACAGAGAGACTTCATCTCTAAATAAATAAATAAATAAATAAAAGAAAATACAAATTTTTTAAAAAAGGTACTGTGGCTGGGCGTGGTGGTTCACACCTGTAATCCCAGCACTTTGGGAAGCCGAGGCAGGTGGATCTCAGATCAGGAGTTCAAGAAGAGCCTGGCCAGCATGGTGAAAACCTATCTGTACTAAAAATTAGCCTGGCATGGTGGCAGGTGCCTGTAGGAGGCTGAGGCAAGAGAATTGCTTGAGCCCCGGAGGCAGAGGTTGCAGTGAGCCGAGACCACACCACTGCACTCCAGCCTGGGCAACAGAGCGAGAGTCTGTCTCAAAAAGGAAACAAAAAAAAAAGTACCTCCAAATTATGGTAGGGTGTCCATATTAAGAAGGTAGAAAAAGGTCGGGGGAAGTGGATGCCTGTAATCCCAGAACTTTGGGAGGCTGAGGCGGGTGGATCACCTGAGGTCAGGAGTTCAAGAACAGCCTGGCCAAAAGGGTATGGTGAAACCCCATCTCTACTAGAACTACAAAATTAGCCGGGCGTGGTGGTACATGCCTGTAATCCCAGCTACACAGGAGTCTGAGGCAGGAGAATCACAGGAAACCGGCAGGCAGAGGTTGCAGTGAGCTGAGATCGCGCCATTGCACTCCAGCCTGGGCGACAAGAGCAAAACTCCATCTCAAAAAAAAAAAAAAGAAAAAATGAAAAAGAATTTATTGAAATGTGCAGTCTGAAAACTGCTCCTGCACATTTTCATTCATCCTTCCTATTCCCTCCATCCCTCAATTTTTTTTTTTTTTTTGAGACAGAGTTTCGCTCTTGTTGCCCAGGCTGGAGTGCAATGGCACGATCTCAGCTCACTGCAACCTCTGCCTCCCAGGTTCCAGCCATTTTCCTGCCTCAGCCTCCAGAATAGCTGGAATTACAGGCATCTGCCACTACGCCTGGCTAATTTTTTGTGTATTTTTAGTAGAGATGGGATTTCACCATGTTGGTCAGGCTGATCTCGAACTCCTGACCTCAGGTGATCCACCCGCCTCGGCCTCCCAAAGTGCTGGGATTACAGGCATGAATCACCACGCCCGGCCCCTCATTTTCTTTTCTTTCTTTCTTTCTTTTTTGTTTGTTTGTTTTTGAGACAGAGTCTTGCTCTGTCACCCAGGCTGGAGTGCAGTGGCGCGATCTCAGCTCACTGCAAGCTCCGCCTCCCGGGTTCACGCCATTCTCCTGCCTCAGCCTCCCGAGTAGCTGGGACTACAGGCGCCCGCCACCACGCCCGGCTAATTTTTTGTATTTTTAGTAGAGACGGGGTTTCACCGTGTTAGCCAGGATGGTCTCCATCTCCTGACCTCGTGATCCGCCCGCCTCGGCCTCCCAAAGTGCTGGGATTACAGGCGTGAGGCACCACACTGGGCCCCCTCACTTTCTTATTCTTTCTAGGATAGGCAACTGAGCGCGGCAGTGAAGAGCTGGGCTTCCGGAAGCTGACAGCTGTTTGTGATCTTCAAGACCTCAGACAGGTTTTCTAAATATGCCTTGCCTTCATTTTCTCAAGGAAAGTGAAAAATGGGTAGGATCATGGCAATCACTACTGTGTAGCAATGTTTAGAGGACTTAATAAGTAAACACAGGGTCAAGCATGGTGGCTCACACCGGAAATCCCAGCACTTTGGGAGGCCGTGGTGGGAAGATTGCTTAAGCCCATGGGGTTGAGACCAGCCTGGGCAACATAGTGAGACCTCCATCTCTATAAAAAATACAAAAATCTAGTCAGGCGTGATGGCGTATGCCTGTAGCCTTCAGTAAGCTATGATTGTGCCACTGCACACCAGCCTAGGCGACAGAGTGAGACCCTGTCTCAAAAAGAAAAAACGAAAAGAAATATAGATGTACATATACATATGTTGGTTCTAAAACATGAAAAAGGCTGGGCGCGGTGGTTCGTGCCTGCAACCCAAGCACTTTGGGAGGCCGAGGCGGGCGGATCACGAGGTCAAGAGTTTGAGACCAGCCTGGCCAACATAGTGAAACCCCATCTCTACTAAAAATACAAAAAAAAGGCTAGGCGCAGTGGCTCATGCCTGTAATCCTAGCACTTTGGGAGGCCGAGGTGAGCAGATTACCTGAGGTTGGGAGTTCAAGACCACCCTGTCCAACATGGTGAAACCCCATCTCTACTAAAAATAAGAAAATTAGCCGGGTACAGTGGCACGCGCCTGTAATCCCAGCTATTCAGGAGGCTGAGGCAGGAGAATCGCTTGAACTCTGGAGGCGGAGGTTGCAGTGAGCCAAGATTGCGCCACTGCACTCCAGCCCGGGCGACAGTGCCAGACTCAGTCTCAGAAAAAAAAAAAGCAAAACAAACAAAGAAACATGAAAAAAAGCTATAAAACCCAACTTTTTTCTTTTTTTTTTTGAGACGGAGTCTCACTCTGTCGCCCAGGGTGGAGTGCAGTGGTGCGGTCTCGGCTCACTGCAACCTCCGCCTCCTGGGTTCAAGCAATTCTCTGCTTCAGCCTCCCAAGTAGCTGGGATTACAGGCACCCGCCACCACGCCCGACTAATTTTTTGTATTTTTAGTTGAGACGGGGTTTCATCATCTTGGCCAGGCTGGTCTTGAAGTCCTGACCTCGTGATCCACCCGCCTTGGCCTCCCAAAGTGCTGGAATTA
Organism: Homo sapiens; assembly: GCF_000001405.40. Lineage (NCBI taxonomy): Eukaryota > Metazoa > Chordata > Mammalia > Primates > Hominidae > Homo > Homo sapiens. Next base: position 676,315 of record NW_003571061.2, read on the forward strand.
CAGGCGTGAGCCACCGCGCCCGGCCAAAACCCAACTTTTTAGTCTTATTTATATGGTGTTTTTTTTTTTTTTTTTTTTTTTGAGATGGAGCCTTGCTCTGTCGCCCAGGCTGGAGTGCAGTGGCGCGATCTCGGCTCACTGCAAGCTCCGCCTCCCGGGTTCACGCCATTCTCCTGCCTCAGCCTCCCGAGTAGCTGGGACTACAGGTGCCCGCCACCACGCCCGGCTAATTTTTTGTATTTTTAGTAGAGACGGGGTTTCACCGTGTTAGCCAGGATGGTCTCGATCTCCTGACCTCGTGATCCACCTGCCTCGGCCTCCCAAAGTGCTGGGATTACAGGCGTGAGCCACTGTGCCCGGCTATATGTTTACAAAATTAATACTGCCAGCCAGGCACGGTGGCTCACGCCTGTAATCCCAGCACTTTAGGAGGCTGAGGCTGGCAGATCACCTGAGGTCAGGAGTTTGAGACCAGCCTGGCCAGCATGGCAAAACCCCGTCTCTATTGAAAAAAATACAAAAATTAACCAGGCGTTGTGGCGCATGCTTGTAATCTCAGCTACTCGGGAGGCTGAGGCAGGGGAATCACTTGAAGCCGGCAGGCGGAGGCTGCGGGGAGCCGAGATCGTGCCGTTGCACTCCAGCCTGGGGAACAGAGCAAGACTCCATTAAAAATAAAATAATAATAATACTGTGAATGTGAAACTGATGAACTTGGTGCTTTTCATGCGTCTCATAGTTGACGTGTCATTGATATTTCACTTGAAATACGGTTGGATTTTTATTAATAATATACCTGGGGTGATGGGAGAAGGTAGCCAATCACAGCTGAGGCTTCTAAGCGGTGATTCTCAGCCTCGGCCGCAATCACAATTATCTGGGACTCTCGAAAGAACTCCAGGGTCTGGGCAGTCCCAGTGTAACCAATCAAGCAGAATCTCTAGGCGTTCGTGCTTTGAAATGAGGCTCCACATAGGTAAGTTTAACAGGCAGTCAAGATGGAGGACCACAGGTGGAGATCGGGAAGCTCAGGTGAAGGACCGCCCCCCAACACCCCCCGCCCCCAAAAGACCTCTCAGTAATTCCGGTGGATACAGGAAGTGCTCAGCAACGATTACGCCCCGAGGGCCAATCACAGGGCTGCGGCCGAGAAAGAAGCCTTAATAGAGCTTTCTCAACCTGCAGCCCTCATCTCCGCCGGCGAGTAGGGCCAGGTGTTGGGAGGTGAGTAGCTCTCCGGCAGCTCTGCAACTTCATTTCTTTATTTCTCCATTCCACAGTTGGTAAAATTTCTCCTTTTATTTCATATATTTTTTTTCTGAGACGGAGTCTCGCTCTGTCGCCCAGGCTGGAGTGCAGTGGCGCGATCTCTGCTCACTGCAAGCTCCGCCTCCCGGGTTCACGCCATTCTCCTGCCTCAGCCTCCCGAGTAGCTGGGACTACAGGCGCCCGCCACCACGCCCGGCTAATTTTTTGTATTTTTAGTAGGTGGCTCACGCCTGTAATCCCAGCACTTTAGGAGGCTGAGGCTGGCAGATCACCTGAGGTCGGGAGTTTGAGACCAGCCTGGCCAGCATGGCAAAACCCCGTCTCTATTGAAAAAAATACAAAAATTAACCAGGCGTTGTGGCGCATGCTTGTAATCTCAGCTACTCGGGAGGCTGAGGCAGGGGAATCACTTGAAGCCGGCAGGCGGAGGCTGCGGGGAGCCGAGATCGTGCCGTTGCACTCCAGCCTGGGGAACAGAGCAAGACTCCATTAAAAATAAAATAATAATAATACTGTGAATGTGAAACTGATGAACTTGGTGCTTTTCATGCGTCTCATAGTTGACGTGTCATTGATATTTCACTTGAAATACGGTTGGATTTTTATTAATAATATACCTGGGGTGATGGGAGAAGGTAGCCAATCACAGCTGAGGCTTCTAAGCGGTGATTCTCAGCCTCGGCCGCAATCACAGTTATCTGGGACTCTCGAAAGAACTCCAGGGTCTGGGCAGTCCCAGTGTAACCAATCAAGCAGAATCTCTAGGCGTTCGTGCTTTGAAATGAGGCTCCACATAGGTAAGTTTAACAGGCAGTCAAGATGGAGGACCACAGGTGGAGATCCGGAAGCTCAGGTGAAGGACCGCCCCCCAACACCCCCCGCCCCCAAAAGACCTCTCAGTAATTCCGGTGGATACAGGAAGTGCTCAGCAACGATTACGCCCCGAGGGCCAATCACAGGGCTGCGGCCGAGAGAGAAGCCTTATTAGAGCTTTCTCAACCTGCAGCCCTCATCTCCGCCGGCGAGTAGGGCCAGGTGTTGGGAGGTGAGTAGCTCTCCGGCAGCTCTGCAACTTCATTTCTTTATTTCTCCATTCCACAGTTGGTAAAATTTCTCCTTTTATTTCATATATTTTTTTTCTGAGACGGAGTCTCGCTCTGTCGCCCAGGCTGGAGTGCGGTGGCGCGATCTCGGCTCACTGCAAGCTCCGCCTCCCGGGTTCAGGCCATTCTCCTGCCTCAGCCTCCCGAGTAGCTGAGACTACAGGCACCTGCCACTATGCCCAGCTAATTTTTTTGTATTTTTAGTAGAGACGGGGTTTCACCATGTTGGCCAGGCTGGTCTCAGTCCGCCTCGGCCTCCCAAGGTGCCGGGATTACAGGCGTGAGCCACCGCGCCCAGCCTTTTTTTTTTTTTTTTTTTTTTTTTTCTTCTCTTTTTTGAGGGTCTTACTCTGTTTCCCAGGCTGGAGCGCTGTGGCAGGATCTCGGCTCACTGAACCCTTGACCTCTCAGGTTCAAGCAGTCCTCACGCCTCAGCCTTTGAAGTAGCTGGGACCGTGGGAGGGTGCCACCACATCTGTTCTGGCTAATAATATTATTATTACCACTGTTTGCAGAGACTCACTAGATGTAGGGTCTTAATATGTTGCCGAAGCTGGTCTCTAACTCCTGGGCTCAAGCGATCTTCCTGCCTCAGACTCCCAAAATTCTGGGATTATAGGCAGGTGCCACCGCGCCCGGCCTAAATCTTTTCTTCTGTTAGAAATTAAGTGGTTCTGCCTGTCTCAGTGGCTCACGCCTGTAATCGCAGCGCTTTGGGAGGCCGAGGCGGGAGGATCACCTGAGGTCGGGAGTTCGAGACCAGCCTGACCAACATGTAGAAACCCCATCTCTACTAAAAATATAAAATTAGGTGGGCGTGGTAGCGCATACTTGTAATCCTAGCTACTCAGGAGGCTGAGGCAGGAGAATCACTTGAACCCGGGAAGCGGAGGTTGCGGGGAGCCTAGATCATACCATTGCTCTCCAGCCTGCGCAGCAAGAGAGAAACTGTCTCAAAAAATAAAATAAAATAAAATTCAGTGGTTCTGACTGGGGAAAGAGTAGCAGATGCTTAGATCTAGAGAGACTCTAGTTAAGGTTGGCTCATAAGAGGATAGTTGTGTGTGCTTTTATTTCTGTTCTCTTGGGGGATTTAGGATAGAGCTATAGAGAGCTCCAAAAAAAAAAATATATTGGAACAGGTCAGATGCTGTGGTTGCTGTGTGTGGAGTCCTGGGCAGTGCTAAGGTTTTGTGTCTAATGAGTCCTCTTAACAAGAAGGTATTGTTTTTTATTCACTGAGGTGAGGGAGCCTCTTAGCATCATTCTAGTCCAGCTTCCGGACCTGAGTCTTATGCAAATACCTATGCCAGTTGCCATTCTCACGCTATTCACAGCTATCATATAAAGAGGTGTTATACCCTTTCTGTAAAGTTTTTGTTGCTACTGCTATTTTTTTTTTTTTTTTTTTGAGACAAAGTCTAGCTCTGTTTCCCAGGCTGGAGTACAGTGGCGCTATCTCAGCTCACTGCAACTTCCACCTCCCAGGTTCAAGCAATTCTCGTGCCTCAGCCTTCTAAGTAGCTGGGACTACAGCCGCCTGTCACCAACCTGGCTAATTTTCGTATTTTTAGTCGATATAGGGTTTCACTATGTTGGCCAGGCTGGTCTCAAGCTCCAGACCTCAGGTGATCCTCCCACCTTGGACTCCCAAAGTGCTGTGATTACAGGCGTGAGCCACCGCACCCGGCCCTGTTGTTTTTAAAATAGAGACAGGGTCTTAAGTTGCCAGGCTGGTCTGGAACTTCTGGACTGGAGTGATCACCCACCTGAGCTTCCCAAAGTGCGGGGATTGCAAGCGTCAGCCACCACCCCCAGTGTTGTGTTTTTGTTTGTTTTACCAGGCTGGAGTGCAGTGGTGCGATCACAGCTCACTGCAGCCTTAACTTCCCTGGCTCAGGTGATCCTCCCACCTCAGCCTCCTCAGTAGCTGGGACTACAGGTGCATGCCACTATGCCCAGCACAATTTTTTTTTTTTTTGTATTTTTTTGTAGAGACAGGGTTTTGCCATGTTGCCCAGGCTGGTCTCAAACTCCAAGCAATCCTCCCACCTTGGCTTCCCAAAGTGTTTGGGGTTCCAGGTGTGAGCCATGGCCCCCCGGCCAGCTTCAGTAAAGTAAAAGCCACACACCTGTGTCCTGAGACCAGGCTCCACCACTAAGTTATCTTTAAGCCTTTTTTTTTTTTGAGACAGTTTCACTCTTGTCGCCCCAGGCTGGAGTGCAGTGGCGCCATGTCAGCTCACCACAACCTCTGCCTCCCACTCCCAGGTTCAAGCGATTCTCCTGCCTCAGCCTCCCAAGTAGCTGGAACTACAGGCACCTGCCACCACGCCCGGCTAATTTTTTGTATTTTTAGTAGAGACGGGGTTTCACTGTGTTAGCCAGGATGGTCTCGATCTCCTGACCTCACGATCCGCCCGCCTCGGCCTCCCAAAGTGCTGGGATTGCAGGCGTGAGCCACCGCGCCCGGCTGTGTGTTTGCATTATCATATTCAGCCCAGTTTTCACGAAGTTTCTTGTCTCCTGGGTGATCCACGTAGCTCCCCACTTCCTTATCTGATCTATGCTTGTCCTTTCATTGTTGTGTTACTACTTTGCTATAATGAGAGAGTGTTTTCGCTTTATAGGTTAACTTTTAGAACCTGAGCAGCCCCTCAGGGAAAACCCTGACAGTAGCTGGTTATTTTGCAATTAGAAAAACTAGCTGGGCACTGAGGCAGGTGAATCACGAGGTCAGGAGTTCGAGACCAGCCTGGCCAACTTGGTGAAACCCCCCATCTCTACTAAAAATACAAAAAAATTAGCTGGGCACAGTGGTGAATGCCTGTAATCCCAGCTACTTGGGAGGCTGAGGCAGGAGAATTGCTTGAATCCGGGAGGCAGAGGTTGTAGTGAGCCGAGATTGCAGCACTGCACTCCAGCCAGGGTGACAAAGTGAGACTCCGTCTCAAAAAAAAAAAAAAAAAAAATACAAAAAGTAGCTGAGCGTGGTGGTGGGTGCCCATAATCCCAGCTAGTCGGGAGGCTGAGGCAGGAGAACTGTTTGAACCTGGGAGGCAGAGGTTGCAGTGAGCTGAGATCGTACTACTGTACTCCAGCCTGGGCTGCAGAGTGAAACTATCTCAAAAATAAGTAAATAAAAGTAAAATGAGTTGAGGTCTTGCTCTGTTGCCCAGATGGGAGTGCAGTGGCACAATCAAGGCTCACTGCAGTTTCAGTCTCCCAGGCTCAAGCAATCCTCCCACTGCAGCCTCCTGAGTAGCTGGGACTACAGGCATGTACCACCACCCACTGCTAACTTATTTTTCATGGAGATGGGGGTCTCACTATGTTGCCCAGGCTGGGAGTTTGTTCTTGAAGAAGCAGGGTAGATGGTGAGTGTCCTTGTTCGTGGCACAGCAGGAACTGGCATTTGAGACAGGAGTGCTAATCACCATCCCTCTCCACTCCTCCCTTGATTGTCATCACAGCTCCCACGTGGGACAAGATGGTGTCTTCGGCGCAGATGGGCTTCAACCTGCAGGCTCTCCTGGAGCAGCTCAGCCAGGATGAGTTGAGCAAGTTCAAGTATCTGATCACGACCTTCTCCCTGGCACACGAGCTCCAGAAGATCCCCCACAAGGAGGTAGACAAGGCTGATGGGAAGCAACTGGTAGAAATCCTCACCACCCATTGTGACAGCTACTGGGTGGAGATGGCGAGCCTCCAGGTCTTTGAAAAGATGCACCGAATGGATCTGTCTGAGAGAGCAAAGGATGAAGTCAGAGGTGAGTGGAAATCGGTCCACACTGTGTCCTAGGAGGAAGCAGGCGTCCTCTCCAGGACTTTAGAAATTCAGAAGGCCAGGCGCGCTGGCTCACGCCTGTCGTCCCAGCCCTTTGGGAGGCTGAGGCGGTTGGACCACCTGAGGGTCAGGAGTTTGAGACCAGCCTGACCAACATGGTGATGAAACAGCATCTCTACTAAAAATACAAAAATTTGCTGGACGTGGTGGCAGACACCTGTAATCCCAGCTACTCCGGGAGGCTGAGGCAGGAGAATCACTTAAATCTAGGAGGCGGGGGTTGCTATGAGCCGAGATCACGCCATTGCACCCCAGCCTGGGCAACAAGAGCAAAATTCTGTCTCAAAAAAAAAAAGAAATGGCATTGAGGCTTGGAGAGGGACTGCTTGTTCTGAATGCAGGTGCTGGATCTTCATAAACCCTGGTGTCTGTCCTGGTCCTTATTTTCTACCTACTTCTTTTTTTTTTTTTTTTTGTCCTTTTATTTTTTTATTTTTTATTTTATTATTATTATTTTTTTTATTATACTTTAAGTTTTAGGGTACATGTGCACATTGTGCAGGTTAGTTACATATGTATACATGTGCCATGCTGGTGCGCTGCACCCACTAACTCGTCATCTAGCATTAGGTATATCTCCCAATGCTATCCCTCCCCCCTCCCCCCACCCCACCACAGTCCCCAGAGTGTGATGTTCCCCTTCCTGTGTCCATGTGATCTCATTGTTCAATTCCCACCTATGAGTGAGAATATGCGGTGTTTGGTTTTTTGTTCTTGTGATAGTTTACTGAGAATGATGGTTTCCAATTTCATCCATGTCCCTACAAAGGACATGAACTCATCATTTTTTATGGCTGCATTGTATTCCATGGTATATATGTGCCACATTTTCTTAATCCAGTCTATCATTGTTGGACATTTGGGTTGGTTCCAAGTCTTTGCTATTGTGAATAATGCTGCAATAAACATACGTGTGCATGTGTCTTTATAGCAGCATGATTTATAGTCATTTGGGTATATACCCAGTAATGGGATGGCTGGGTCAAATGGTATTTCTAGTTCTAGATCCCTGAGGAATCCCCACACCGACTTCCACAATGGTTGAACTAGTTTACAGTCCCACCAACAGTGTGAAAGTGTTCCTATTTCTCCACATCCTCTCCAGCACCTGTTGTTTCCTGACTTTTTAATGATCGCCATTCTAACTGGTGTGAGATGATATCTCATAGTGGTTTTGATTTGCATTTCTCTGATGGCCAGTGATGATGAGCATTTTTTCATGTGTTTTTTGGCTGCATAAATGTCTTCTTTTGAGAAGTGTCTGTTCATGTCGTTCGCCCACTTTTTGATGGGGTTGTTTGTTTTTTTCTTGTAAATTATTTTCTACCTATTTCTATCGCTTTCAGGTATCGTACAGTTGGCCTAACATATCTGTGGATTTAACCAATCCTAGATCAAAAATAATGGGGGCAAAGACAATTAAAAATAACAATACAATAAAATGCACATGAACTATGGTTATTTAACTCTTCTTGAGAGAGGATCTCACTCTGTCACCCAGGCTGGAATTTAGCAGCACGATCTCGGCTCACTGCAACCTCCGCCTCCCGGGTTCAAGCGATTCTCCTGCCTCAGCCTCCCGAGTAGCCGGGATTACAAGCATGTCCCACCATGCCTGGCTGATTTTTTTTTTTTTTTTTTTTGTATTCTAAATAGAGATGGGGTTTCACCATGTTAGCCAGGATAGTCTCGATGTCGTGACCTCATGATCTGCCCGCCTCGGCCTCCCAAAGTGTTGGGATTACAGGCGTGAGCCACCGCACCCAGCCAGCAAGTGCATTTAGAACTACTCTACTTTCTACCCCATAACTTTTTTTTTTGTTTGTTTGAGACAAGTCTCACTCTGTCACCCAGGATGGAGTGCAGCAGCACAATCTCAGCTTATTGCAACTCCCGCCCCCTGGGTTCAAGTGTTTCTCCTGCATCAGCCTCTTGAATAGCTAGGATTATACAGGCACCTGCCACTGTGCCTGGCTAAATTTTGTATTTTAATAGAGATGGGGTTTCACTATGTTGGCCAGGCTGGTCTTGAACTCCTGACCACGTGATCAACCCGCCTCAGCCTCCCAATGTGCTGGAATTACAGGTGTGAGCCGCCATGCCCAGCTACACTTTTTTTTGAAACGGGGTCTCGTTTTCTTGCTCAGGCTGGAGTACAATGGGGCAATCACAGCTCACTGCAGCCTTGACCTCCCAGACTTGAGCAATCCTACCACTATGGCCTCCCACCACACCTCGCTCATTCTTGTATATATATATATTTTTGTAGAGATAGGGTTTCACCATGTTGCCCAGGCTGGTCTCGAACTTCTGTGGGCTCAACCGATCCTCCTGCCTTGGCTTCCCACAGTCCTGGGATCAGAAACATGAGCCACAGTGCCTGGCCAGTGCAGCTTTATTTACAGTAACCAAGATATAGAGTCAGTCTAAGTGACCATCAGTGGATGAATAAAAAATGTGCCCGTTGGGTACCCTGCCTACTGCCTGGGTTATGAGATTGTTGGGACCCCAAGCCTTAAAAAGGAAACATGGTAGGCCGGGCACAGTGGCTCACGCCTGTAATCACAGCACTTTGGGAGGCCAAGGCGGGTGGATCACTTGAGGCCAGGAGTTTGAGACCAGTCAGGCCAATGTGGTGAAACCCTGTCTCTACTAAAAATATAAAAAAATCAGCCGGGCGTGGTGGCACACTCCTGTAGTCCCAGCTACTTGGGAGGCTGAGGCAGGAGGATTGCTTGAACCAGAGAGTCAGAGGTTGCAGTGAGCCAAGATCGTGCCACTGCGCTCCAGCCTGGGTGACAGCAAGACTCCATCTCAAAAAAAAAAAACAAACAAACATGGTATTAATTACACAATGGAATACTCCTCAACCTTAAGGAACTCCTATCTTTTTATTTAAAAATTGCCAGTTTTATTTCAGCTAGAGATCACTTTTTAGCATAATGTTTCCTGTCTTTAACAATGGGTGAGGGTTTTTTTTTTTTTTTTTTTGGTTTGGTTTGGATTTTGGTTTTGCTTTTGAGTCGAAGTTTCACTCTTGTCTCCCAGGCTAGAGTGCAATGGCGCGATCTCGGCTCACTGTGACCTCCTCCTCCCAGGTTTAAGTGATTCTCCTGCCTCAGCCTCCAGAGTAGCTGGGATTACAGGCGCCTACCACCATGCCCGCTAATTTTTGTATTTTAGTAGAGACAGGGTTTTACCATGTTGACCAGACTGGTCTCGAACTCCCGACCTCAGGTGATCTGCCCACCTCAGCCTCCCAGAGTGCTGGGATTACAGGTGTGAGCAACCATGCCCGGCCAAGGGTTTTTAACTTTAGCTGACCTCCGGAGGTTACAAGTTTGAAAACGGCAGGAGGAAACCCAGAGAGTTGTAAACTTACGAAGGTCTGGGCTCTGAAAAAGATACAAATTTTCTTTCCATGCCAATAGCGCTCACACAGACATGGTGAATGTTCCTGAAACCCGCCGGACTTTCTGTAAGAAGTGTGGCAAGCACCACCCCCACAAAGTGACACAAGGCAAGGATTCTTGGTATGCCCAGGGGAAGTAGTGTTATGACAGGAAGCAGAGTGGCTATGGTGGGCAGACTAAGCCGATTTTCCGGAAAAAGGCTAAAACTACAAAGAAGATTGTGCTAAGGCTTGAGTGCCTTGAGCCCAACTGCAGATCTAAGAATGCTGGCTATTAAAAGATACAAGCAGCCAAGCGCGGTGGCTCACGCCTGTAATCCCAACACTTTGGGAGGCCGAGGTGGGCGGATCACAAGGTCAGGAGTCTGAGACCAGCCTGGCCAAAATGGTGAAACCCCATCTCTACTAAAAATACAAAACTTAGCTGGGCATGGTGGTGTATGCCTATAGTCCCAGCTACTCAGGAAGCTGAGGCAGGAGAATCGCTTGAACCTGGGAGGCAGAGGTTGCAGTGAGCCAAGATTGTGCCACTCCAGCCTGGGCAACAGAGTGACACTCTGTCTCAAAAAAAAAAGATGCAAGCATTTTGAACTGGAAGGAGATAAGAGAAAGGAACAAGTGATCCAGTTCTAAGTGTCATCTTTTCTTTTATGAAGGCAATAAAATCTTGAGCTTATGGTAAAATGCAAAATTTTCCCCCCTTCTCCTTTTTCAGAAGCAGCTTTGAAATCCTTTAATAAAAGGAAGCCTCTATCATTAGGTAAGTTACCTCATTTATAACTTTTATTCTTCATGTGAGATCTGGGGACTCGGGCCTTTGTTTTAAGGAGAATGTGCTGAGCACTAAGAATGCAAAGAAATGCCGGACTTAGCATCCCTGCTCCCAGGGCGGAGCTGGTCTCGCAGGTGCGTAGCAGTAAGACCTGGGAAGCTGAAACACGATCGCGTTTGTTGGAAATCTATAAATACATACAAAGCGGGGAAGGGTAAGCTTGGCCTTTGAATCTGGATAAGGTAGAGACTTTTCTTTTTTGAGATGGAGGCTTGCTCTGTCACCTAGGCTGAAGTGCAGTGGTACGACCTCGGCTGACTGCAACCTCTACCTCCTGGGTTCAAGCAGTTCTCCTGCCTCAGCCTCTAGAATAGCTGGGATTACAGGTACCTGCCACCAGGCCCGGCTAATTTTTTGTGGTGTTTGTAGAGATGGGGTTTCACCATGATGGCCAGGCTGGTCTTGAACTCCTGACCTCAAGTGATCTGCCCACCTCAGCGTCCCAAAATGCTGGGATTATGGGCATGAGCCACCACCACACCCGGTTTTGTTTTTTTTTTTTTTTTTTTTTTTTTTTTTTTTTTTTTGAAACAGGGCTTCACTCTGTCACTTAGGCTGGAGTGGTGCAATCATGGTTCACTGCAGCCTTGACCTCCCAAGCTCTGGTGATCCTCCTGCCTCAGCCTCCTGAGTAGCTGGGACCACAGGCACTTGCCACCATGCCTGGCTAATTTTTTTCACTTTTTGTAGAGACAGGGTCTTGCTATGTTGCCCAGGCTGGCCTCGAATTACTAAACTCAATCAGTCCTCCTGCCTCACCCTCCCAAACTGCTGGGGTACAGGTGTGAGCCATGACACCTGGCCCTTACCAGCTACTTATATCCTGAAGATTATTATTATTTTTTTTTTTTTTGAGATAGAGTCTCTCTCTGTTGCCCAGGCTGGAGTGCAGTGGCGTGATCTCGGCTCACTGCAAGCTCCGCCTCCCGGGTTCATGCCATTCTCCTGCCTCAGCCTCCCGAGTAGCTGGGACTACAGGCGCCCACCACCACGCCTGGCTAATTTTTTTGTGTTTTTAGTAGAGACGGGGTTTCACCGTGTTAGCCAGGATGGTCTCGATCTCCTGACCTTGTGATCCGCCCGCCTCGGCCTCCCAAAGTGCTGGGATTACAGGCGTGAGCCACCGCGCCCGGCCCCTGAAGATTGTGTTTTGAGATGGGGTCTTGCTGTGTTGCTCCGGCTTGATTGCAGTGGCACAGTCATAGCTCATTGCAGCCTCAACCTTCCAGGCTCCAGAGATCCTCTTACCTCAGCCTCCTGAGTAGCTGGGACTACAGGTGTGCACTGCCACACCTGACTAATATTTGTATTTTTGGTAGGGACAGTTTCACTATGTTGCCAGATATGGTGTCAAACTCCTGGTCTCAAGTGATCCTCCCACCTTGGCCTCCCAAAGTGCTGGGATTACAGACATGATTCACCACACCTGGCCATGAAGACTTTTTTTTTTTGGACAAAGTCTCACTCTGTTGCCCAGGATGGAATGCAGTGGCATGATCTCAGCTCACTGCAACCTCTGACCTCCGCCTCCCGGTTCAAGTGATTCTCTTGCCTCAGCCTCCCGAGTAGCTGGGATTATAGGTGTCTGCCACCAAGCCCAGCTAATTTTTGTAATTTTAGTAGAGATGGGGTTTCACCATGTTGGCCAGGCTGGTCTTGAACTCCTGACCTCGTGATCCACGTGCCTCAGCCTCCCAAAGTGTTGGGATTACAGGTGTGAGTCACTGCGCCTGGTCTCATGAAGACCTTTTTTGAGACAGAGTCTTGCTCTGTCACCCAGGCTGGAGTGCAGTGGTACAATCTCACTGCAGCCTCCGCCTCCCAGGTTCAAGTGATTCTCCTGCCTTAGCCTCCCAAGTAGCTGGGATTACAGGCGCCTACCACCACGTCTGGCTAATTTTTGTATTTTTAGTAGAGACAGGGTTTCACCATGTTGGCCAGGCTGGTCTCAAACTGCTGACCTCAAATGAACTGTCTGCCTCAGCCTCACAAAGTACTGGGATTACAGGCATGAGCCACCTCACCTGGTGGTGAAGACTCTAAAGGCTCTTCTCAGATCAGCCTTTGTCCTGAATTTCACATGCCCGTGTCCAGTTCCCTCCCCAGCATCTTTTCAGGAGTTCCATGGACTCACCTCTTCATTATCCAGGGTTAAGCTGCAGATATTGTTATTAGGATTCCACCTTGTTCTCTCTCTTTTTTTTTTTTTTTTTGATACGGAGTCTCGCTTGCTCTTTTGCCAGGCTGAAGTGCAGTGGAGCGATCTTGGCTCACTGCAATCTCCGCCTCCTGGGTTCAAGCAATTCCCTTGCCTCAGCCTCGCAAGTAGCTGGGACTTACAGGTAACACACCACCATGCCCGGCTAATTTTTTGTTTTAGTAGAGACGGGGCTTCACCATGTTGGCCGGGATGGTCTCGATCTCCTGACCTCATGATCCGCCTGCCTTGGCCTCCCAAAGTGTTGGGTTACAGGCATGAGCCACCATGCCCGGCTGATTCCACCTTGTTCTTACATTCTTTCCCAGTTCATTTTAAATTTATCTACCTCATCAGAAACTAGGGGGTTAGGCCTGGCAGGCAGATCACCTGAGGTTGGGAGTTCGAGACCAGCCTGACCAACGTAGAGAAACCCTGTCTGTACTAAAAATACAAAATTAGCCAGGTATGGTGGCACATTCCTGTAATCCCAGCTACTCCGGAGGCCGAGGCAGGAGAATCACTTGAACCCAGGAGGCGGAGGTTGCAGTGAGCCGACATCACACCATTGCATTCCAGCCTGGGCAACAAGAGCAAAACTACATCTCAAAAAAAAAGAAAAACTAGGCAGTTAATCCTCAAAGCCTTTCCAGTGGCCTTATGCGTGAGTAGTTTGTGTGTGTGTGTGTGTGTGTGTGTGTGTGTGTGTGTCTTTCACACCATGTGTTCTGAACTACTTAGGAATTCTCACCAGAAAGGCACATAAACCTGGGATCATGGCCTAATGTACTTTCACTTTTACATCCAGTACCTTATCAACGTCCTTTTTAGTACCTAATCTAGGCTTCACTACTGAGACTCAGGGGTCCAACTTGAGCCATCTTGGAGTCCCACTGCCAGCACAGCAACAGGCCTGTAATGCCGCCCTTTTTCTCCAGGGATAACACGGAAAGAACGACCACCTCTAGACGTGGACGAAATGCTGGAGCGCTTCAAAACAGAAGCACAAGGTGGGTGTCAGGACCTCCAATGTTGGAGTCAGCTGAGGAAGCCCCCCGTTCTTGCTGCTATCTCCTGTTCCTTTGAAGAACCCCATCTCTCTCCAATCTTTTCCTCCACTATTCTTAATGTGCCCACTGTCTCCTGGAGAATGCCAACCTCCCTTCCGTAAGAATAGAGGGAAGAACGAACGTTGCAGAGAATTAGAACTCAGTTTGTAGAAAGTTAGGAGCACAGCGCAGAGAGTTTTTGTTTTTGTTTTTGTTTTGAGACAGTTTCTCTGTTGGCCAGGTTGGAATGCAATGGCGCGATCTCGGCTCACTGTAACCTCCACCTCCCAGGTTCAAGCGATTCTCCTGATTCTCCTGACTCAGCCTCCTGAGTAGCTGGGATTATAGGCACCTGCCACCACACCCAGCTAATTTTTTTTTTTTTTTTTGAGACGAAGTCTTGTTCTTGTCACCCAGGCTGGAGTATAGTGGCACCATCCCTGTTCACTGCAACCTCCGCCTCCCAGATTCAAGTGATTGTCCTGTCTCAGCCTCCTGAGTAGCTGGGACTACAGGTGCATGCCACCACGCCCAGCTAATTTTTTTTTGTACTTTTAGTAGAGACAGGTTTCACCATCTCATTCAGGGTGGTCTCAAACTCCTGACCTCAAGAGATCTGCTCCACCCACCCCCAAGTCTCCCGAAGTGCTGGGATTACAGGCGAGAGCCACCGTACCCGGCCTTCTTTAAATTATTTAAAAGTTGACAGGTGGCCAGGTGTGGTGGCTCTCACCTATAATCTCCCAGCACTTTGGGAGGCTGAGGCGGGTGGATCAAGAGATCGAGACCATCCTGGCCAACATGGTGAAACCCAACTCTACTAAAAACACAAAAATTAGCCGGGTGTGGTGGCACCCGCCTGTAGTCCCAGCTACTCAGGAGGCTGAGGCAGGAGAATCGCTTGAACCCGGGAGGTGGAGGTTGCAGTGAGCCAAGATTGTGCCACTGCACTCCAGCCTGGCAACAGTGCGAGACTCCATCTTAAAAAAAAAAAAAAAAAATTGACAGGCATAAATGTATTTATGGTACATTGCTCAGACAACTTTAATATAAACAACTTACAGAGAAAATTGAGTCTTTTGGGTAGGTGACTTGCCTGAGCTGACTTTGTGATAGGTTTTTTCTGTTTTTTTTGTTTTTGAAATAGAGTCTCACTCTGTCATGCAGGCTGGAGTGCAGTGGCCCCATCTTGGCTCACTGCAATCTCTGCCTCCTGGGTTCAAGGGGTCTTCCTGCCACAGCCTCCCCAGGTGCTGGGACTATAGGTGCCCACCACTATGCCTGGCTAACTTTTGTGTTTTTAGTACAGATGGGGTTTCAACAGGGTAGCCAGGTTGGTCTAGAACTCCTGACCTCAAGTGATCCACCTACCTCGGTCTCCTAAAGTGCTGGGATTACAGCTGTGAACCACCGCACCTAGCCTGTGATCAGTTTCAGATCAGCCTTGCTTACTCCACATTCCCTCTTATCTTCCTGGTAGCATTTTTGTTTTTTCTTGAGAAAGAGTTTTGCCCTTGTCGCCCAGGCTAGAGTGCAATGGTGTGATCTCGGCTCGCCACAACCTCCACCTCCCAGGTTCAAGTGATTCTGCCTCAGCCTCCCGAGTAGCTGGGATCATAGGCGCCCACCACCACATCTGGCTAATTTTTGCATTTGTTAGTTTTATTTTTAGTAGACAGGGTTTCACCATGTTGGGCAGGCTGGTCTTGAACTCCTGACCTCAGGTGATCCACCCACTTCGGCCTCCCAAAGTGCTGGGATTACAGGCATGAGCCACCGTACCTAGCCCACATTGACTTTTGATACAGCAAGTATTTCTTGCTATGGCTCTGTATAATAGAGGTGAGTAACTTGGTTGAAGGAATTGTTTGCCCTGTTCATCTCTCTAGACACGGCCAATGTCATTCCTGGCACACAATCTTTTTTTTTCTTGAGATGGAGTCTCACTCTGTTGCCCAGACTGGAGTGCAGTGGTGCAATCTTGGCCCACTGCAACCTCTGCTACCCAGGTTCAAGCGATTCTCCTGCCTCAGCCTCCCAAATAGCTGGGAGTACAGGTGTGTGCCACCACGCCCAGCTAATTTTTTGTATTTTAGTAGAGACAGGGTTTCACCGTGTTAGTCAGGATGGTCTGGATCTCCTAACCTCGTGATCCGTCCGCCTCAGCCTCCCAAAGTGCTGGGATGACAGGCGTGAGCCACTGTGCCCAGCCTAGCACACAATCTTGACAAAGAATTTCGGTGCGACTTGGGGTACTGTGGTGCCTGCTCTATCATCATGCTTCAGCAGGAAATGTGGGTGAATAGTGCCTGGTGGCATGGCAGGTAAAGAAATGTTTTGTTTTGTTTTTTTTTTTGAGACAGTCTTGCTCTGTCACCCAAGCTGGAGTGCAGTGGCGCAATCTCGGCTCACTGCAAGCTCCATCTCCCGGGTTCACGCCATTCTGCCTCAGCCTCCCCAGTAGCTGGGACTACAGGCGCCCGCCACACGCCCGGCTAATTTTTTGTATTTGTAGTAGAGACAGGGTTTCACCGTGTTAGCCAGGATGGTCTCGATCTCCTGACCTTATGATCCACCCGCCTTGGCCTCCCAAAGTGCTGGGATTACAGGCGTGAGCCACCGCGCCCAGCCGCGGGTAAAGAAATTTATGAAGACAATCGTAGGTAAAGGAAGGCAGATTTATTGGAGAAAGTAGGAAAAGACATTGGCAGAGAGACCCCAGCGGGCAGGTTGTCATGAGTAGCTCACTGCCAGGAGACCAAAGCTTCCTGCAGATTTTATAGAATAGGGCTTGGGCTGATTGATAATGTCAACAGGGGGTTTAACTTGCGGTCTTCTTTCAGCAGAAGTGTTTGATAAACTGAGGCGTTTCATGGCAAACAGGGAGTTTGTGAGCTCTGTGTGTGATCTGGCCAGGAAGGCCAAACATCTTGGGCCGTATCTCCTGGACCATAAAAGCAGACCTGGCCCAGTGCAGTGGTTCATGCCTGCAATCCCAGCACTTTGGGAGGCTGAGGTGGGTGGATCATCTGAGGTCAGCAGTTTTAGACTGGCCTGGCCAACATGGCGAAACCCCATCTCTACTAAAAATACAAAAATTAGCCTAGACGCAGTGGCACATGCCTGTAATTCCAGTTACTTGGGAAGCTGAGGCAGGAGAATCGCTTGAACCCGGGAGGCGGAGGTTGCAGTGAGCTGAGATTGCGCCACTGCACTCCAGCCTGGGCAACAGAGTGAGACTGTCTCAAACAGACCTATAGCTGACCTGTTTCCTCTTGTTTGTATGCCCTGAACCATGGAGGAAAGCTTATTTATTTATTTTATTGAGATGGAGTCTTGCTCTGTTGCCCAGGGTGGAGTGCAGTAGTGCGATCTCTTACTACAACCTCCATCTCCCAGGTTCAAGCAATTCTCGAGCCTCTTGGCCTCCCAAGTAGCTGAGATTACAGGCATGCGCCACCACGCCTGGCTAATTTTTGCATTTTTAGTAGAGATGGGGTTTCTGTGTTGGCCAGGCTGGTCTCGAACTCCTGAGCTCAAGTGATCCACCCCACCTCAGCCTCCCAAAGTTCTGGGATTATAGGCATGAGCCACCACACCTGGCCGGAAAACACATTTGTAGCTTATTTGCTTTATCTGATCCCGTGCCCCCCCTCCCCCCCGCCCCATCAGCCTGCCTCCTTTTCTCTAATTGGGACTCCACAGGAAATACACCTGATTTTGTGTCAATCTCACATGAGTTTGTATTTTGTAGCGTTTACAGAAACGAAAGGAAATGTCATCTGCCTGGGTAAAGAAGTCTTTAAAGGAAAAAAGCCAGGTCTGTACCATATCTTCCTGCAGGGAGCTTGGGATCAGATTTCTCTTTATAAACTTGAAGTCCTCTTAACTTTCCTATGTAACACAAAGCATTTATTTATGTATGTATGTATCGAGACGGAGTTTTGCTCTTGTTGCCCAGGCTGGAGTGCCGTGGCGTGATCTCGACTCACTGCAACCTCCGCCTCCCAGGTTCAAGCAATTCTCCTGCCTCAGCCTCCCGAGTAGCTGGGATTACAGGCATGCGCCACCATGACTGGCTAATTTTTTATTTTTAGTAGAGACAAGGTTTCTTCATGTTGGTCAGGCTGGTGTTGAACTCCCAATGTCAGGTGATCTGCCTGCCTCGACCTCCCAAAGGGCTGGGATTACAGGCATGAGCCACTGTGCCCGGCCAACACAAGGCATTTTGTTATTTTGGTTTTCCCTATGGGTAACTGATTGCATCCTCTCTCCCTTCCCTCCTCACCAATGATAAAGACAAAGACAATAGGTGCAGGTATATATTGAAGACGAAGTTCCGGGAGATGTGGAAGAGCTGGCCTGGAGATAGCAAAGAGGTCCAGGTTATGGCTGAGAGATACAAGATGCTGATCCCATTCAGCAACCCCAGGGTGCTTCCCGGGCCCTTCTCATACACGGTGGTGCTGTATGGTCCTGCAGGCCTTGGGAAAACCACGCTGGCCCAGAAACTAATGCTAGACTGGGCAGAGGACAACCTCATCCACAAATTCAAATATGCGTTCTACCTCAGCTGCAGGGAGCTCAGCCGCCTGGGCCCGTGCAGTTTTGCAGAGCTGGTCTTCAGGGACTGGCCTGAATTGCAGGATGACATTCCACACATCCTAGCCCAAGCACGGAAAATCTTGTTCGTGATTGACGGCTTTGATGAGCTGGGAGCCGCACCTGGGGCGCTGATCGAGGACATCTGCGGGGACTGGGAGAAGAAGAAGCCGGTGCCCGTCCTCCTGGGGAGTTTGCTGAACAGGGTGATGTTACCCAAGGCCGCCCTGCTGGTCACCACGCGGCCCAGGGCCCTGAGGGACCTCCGGATCCTGGCGGAGGAGCCGATCTACATAAGGGTGGAGGGCTTCCTGGAGGAGGACAGGAGGGCCTATTTCCTGAGACACTTTGGAGACGAGGACCAAGCCATGCGTGCCTTTGAGCTAATGAGGAGCAACGCGGCCCTGTTCCAGCTGGGCTCGGCCCCCGCGGTGTGCTGGATCGTGTGCACGACTCTGAAGCTGCAGATGGAGAAGGGGGAGGACCCGGTCCCCACCTGCCTCACCCGCACGGGGCTGTTCCTGCGTTTCCTCTGCAGCCGGTTCCCGCAGGGCGCACAGCTGCGGGGCGCGCTGCGGACGCTGAGCCTCCTGGCCGCGCAGGGCCTGTGGGCGCAGACGTCCGTGCTTCACCGAGAGGATCTGGAAAGGCTCGGGGTGCAGGAGTCCGACCTCCGTCTGTTCCTGGACGGAGACATCCTCCGCCAGGACAGAGTCTCCAAAGGCTGCTACTCCTTCATCCACCTCAGCTTCCAGCAGTTTCTCACTGCCCTGTTCTACACCCTGGAGAAGGAGGAGGAAGAGGATAGGGACGGCCACACCTGGGACATTGGGGACGTACAGAAGCTGCTTTCCGGAGTAGAAAGACTCAGGAACCCCGACCTGATCCAAGCAGGCTACTACTCCTTTGGCCTCGCTAACGAGAAGAGAGCCAAGGAGTTGGAGGCCACTTTTGGCTGCCGGATGTCACCGGACATCAAACAGGAATTGCTGCGATGCGACATAAGTTGTAAGGGTGGACATTCAACGGTGACAGACCTGCAGGAGCTCCTCGGCTGTCTGTACGAGTCTCAGGAGGAGGAGCTGGTGAAGGAGGTGATGGCTCAGTTCAAAGAAATATCCCTGCACTTAAATGCAGTAGACGTTGTGCCATCTTCATTCTGCGTCAAGCACTGTCGAAACCTGCAGAAAATGTCACTGCAGGTAATAAAGGAGAATCTCCCGGAGAATGTCACTGCGTCTGAATCAGACGCCGAGGTTGAGAGGTGAGAACCGTTTCACTCTACCAGTCGTTCCATCTTTAGCCTCATCCCATGCCCCCTTAGGAAGAGGCCAGAGCCTCCTATGCACTGTGGCTTAGGGTCAGGAATTCCCTCTTGTTGGACTCTTTGTTTGTTTTTGTTTTGAGATGGAGTCTTGCTCTGTCGCTCAGGCTGGAGCGCAGTGGCGCGATCTTGGCTCCCTGCAACCTCCGCCTCCCGGGTTCAAGTGATTCTTCTGCCTCAGCCTCCTGAGTAGCTGGGACTACAGGCGCCTGCCACCTTGCCCGGCTAATTTTTATATTTTCATTAGAGACGGGATCTCAGCATGTTGGCCAGTCTGGTCTTGAACTCCGCCTGACCTCAGGTGATCCACCTGCCTCAGCCTCCAAAGTGGGATTACAGGCATGATTCACCATGCCCGGCCCAAATATATTTTTTTAAGACAGGGTCTTGCTGTGTTGCTCAGGCTGGAGTACAGTGGTGAAATCAGCTCACTGCATCCTCAAACTTCTGGGTTCAAGTGATGTTCCTGAGTACCTGGGATGACAGGTATTAAGTGTGCACCATCATGTCCAGCTAACTTAAGTGGGGGTTTTTTTTTGTGTTTTTTTTTTTTTTTTTTTTTTTGGAAAGACAAAATCTCACTATGTTGTCCAGGCTGGTCTTGAACTCCCAAAGCACTGAGATTACAGGCATGAGTTACCACACGCCCTGCCTGAATATTTCTTATTGATATGTATAGATATGTATATTCCCAATCTTTTTTTTTTTTTTTGAGACGGAGTTTCACTCTTTTTCCCAGGTCGGAGTGAAGTGGCTCGATCTCGGCTCACTGCAACCTCCGCCCCACCAGGTTCAATGATTCTCCTGCCTCAGCCTCATGAGTAGCTGGGATTACAGCCACCCACGACCATGCCCAGCTAATTTTTGTACTTTTAGTAGAGACGGGGTTTCACCATGTTGGCCAGGCAGGTCTCGAACTCCCGACCTCAGGTGATCCACCCGCCTCAGCCTCACAAAGTGCTAGGATTATAGGCGTGAGTCACCGTGCCCGGTCTATATTCTCTATCTTTTATCAATGATGTGCTTAGCATTTTAACTTATTTTTACCCTCTATTGGATTTTTGTCTAAGAAGAATAGGTTCTTTCTCCTGTGATGCTTCTTGGGTGTTGAGTTGTCTGATGGTGGTGCTAATAAGTGATTACATGGTCCAGCTTTCAATTGTACTCATTTGTCAGGGGTATATGCCCAGAGAAACCCTAAATACTTCAGCCGTGATGGACACACATTTGGTGTAACCCTTTCTTCTCTTCCCTATAGATCCCAGGATGATCAGCACATGCTTCCTTTCTGGACGGACCTTTGTTCCATATTTGGATCAAATAAGGATCTGATGGGTCTAGCAATCAATGATAGCTTTCTCAGTGCCTCCCTAGTAAGGATCCTGTGTGAACAAATAGCCTCTGACACCTGTCATCTCCAGAGAGTGGTGTAAGTAGAAACTAATTCATGAACTCAAATCCTTAGGGTATGAAAATGGTACAATGTTAACATCGGAGCAATATTCAGATTCCTGTACTAGACTCTTAAGTGCTCGAGACACAGGGAATTGAGAGAGTCCTGTCCTTAAATTTATTTTGTGGGATAATCGTATAAAGTAATTTCTAGGGGCTGGGCATGGTGGTTCACACTTGTAATTCCAACACTTCGGGAGGCCGAGGCAGACAGATCACTTGAGGTCAGGAGTTCGAGACCAGCCTGGCCAACGTGACAAAACCCTGCCTCTACTAAAAATACAAAAATTATCCAGGCGTGGTGGCAGGCACCTGTAATATCAGCTACTTGGGAGGCTGAGGCAGGAGAATTACTTGAACCCAGGAGGCGGAGGTTGCAGTGAACCAAGATCCTGCCACTGGACTCCAGTCTGAGTGACAGAGCGAGACTGCGTCTCAAAAAAAAAAAAAAAAAAAAAGAAAAAGAAAAAAAGGGCCGGGCACAATGGCTCACGCCTGTAGTCCCAGCACTTTGGGGGCCCAAGGTGGGGGGATCACTTGAGGTCAGGAGTTCAAGACCAGCCTGGCCAAGATGGTGCAAGACCCTGTCTCTACGAAAAATACAAAAATTTGCCAGGTGTCGTGGCAGGTGCCTATAATCCCAGCTACTCCGGATGCTGAGGGTAGGAGTCGCTTGAATCCGGGAGGCAGAGTTTGCTTTGCAGTGAGCCGAGATCGCGCCACTGCACTCCAGCCTGGGCAACAGAGTGAGACTCCATCTCAAAGAAAAAAAAAATCTGTAAAGATGGACAAAAATTTAAACATGGAAAAAATAGTTCCTAAAGTTTAAATATATCGAGCCCCTGGTTTCCATTTAAGTACGATACAGGTGTACACACTAAAGATTTCACTTTCGTTCTCTTTTCCCTAGGTTCAAAAACATTTCCCCAGCTGATGCTCATCGGAACCTCTGCCTAGCTCTTCGAGGTCACAAGACTGTAACGTATCTGACCCTTCAAGGCAATGACCAGGATGATATGTTTCCCGCATTGTGTGAGGTCTTGAGACATCCAGAATGTAACCTGCGATATCTCGGGTATATCTCTTAATCATTAAAATCCTTCATCATACAAACATAAGCTACCACAAGCTTATGTGGCAATTTTGTGTAAATAAGAAAAAGTTCGTTATTCTGACTAGAAACAGTACTAAGGGCAGATGACCCAGGATGCAGCATGGGCTGAACTTGAGTTTCTACTTGCCTTGAACAGTAAACACCCTGGACAACCATACGTGAGGACCCTGAATCCAAAGAAACTCCCAGAATCTTTATCATCTTTTTTTTTTTTTTTATGAAGTCTTGCTCTGTTGCCCAGGCCAAAGTGCAATGGCACGATCTTGGCTCACTGCAACCTCTGTCTCCTGGGTTCAAGTAATTCTGCTGCCTCAGCCTCCCAAGTTGCTGGGATTACAGGCACCCGCCACCACGCCCGGCTAATTTTTGTGCATTTAGTGGAGCTGGTTTCGCCACATTGCCAGGCTGGTCTCGAACTCATGACCTCAGGTGACCTGCCCTCCTCAGGCTCCCAAAGTGCTGGGATTATAGGCATGAGCCACCATGCCCAGCCAGAGTCCTTATGTTTTGGTTTTGGTTTTGGTTTTTTCTTTTTCTTTTTTCTTTTTGAGATGGAGTCTCGCTCTGTCACCCAGGCTGGAGTGCGTTGGTATGATCTCAGGTCACTGCAGCCTCCACCTCCCAGGTTCAAGTGATTCTCCTGCCTCAGCCTCCTGAGTAGCTGGGATTACAGGTGCACACCACCACACCTGGTTAATTTTTGTATTATTAGTAGAGATGGAGTTTTACCACATTGGCCAGGCTGGTCTCGAACTCATGACCTCAGGTGATCTACCCCCCCACCCCCACCCCACCCCGCCGTCGGCCTCCCAAAGTGAGGCATGAGCCACCGTGCCCAGCCCAGAATCTTTATCTTCTATCAGAGATCATTCACTCATGGTTCATGCTTCTCCTGTATGATGATTCAGAATACCAGCTATTGACATTTTTCAAGCAAGAACCCTTCAGGAACATCAAGTTGCCCCTTTTCTGTTAGTCCTCTGGTTTGAGAGCTCTCCCCTTGGGAAGCTGTCCAGTGGCTGCCCAGGCGATGAGAACCTACATGCATCATGGGGTTCCATGAAGCCTCACTTGGCCACACTGGTGTAGTAGGTGGTCATTGGCCTCAAATTATTGCCCTGGGCCAGGCGCAGTGGCTCACGCCTGGGAGGCCGAGGTGGGTGGATCACTTGAGGTCAGGAGTTCAAGACCGGCCTGGTCAACATGGTGAAACTCTGTCTCTACTAATAATACAAAAATTAGCTGGGCATGTTGGCGCACGCCTGTAGTCCCAGCTACTCAGGAGGCTGAGGCAGGAGCATCATTTGAACCTGAGAGGCGGAGGTTGCAGTGAGCTGAGATCACACCACCGCACTCCAGTCTGGGCAACAGTGTGAGACTGTCTCAAAAAAAAAAAAAAAAATCTTGGCTGGGTGCGGTAGCTCATGCCTGTAATCCCAGCACTTTGGGAGGCCAAGGCAGGTGGATCACAAGGTCAGGAGTTCAAGACCAGCCTGGCCAACATGGTGAAACCCCACGTCTACTAAAAATACAAAAACATTAGCTGGGCATGGTGGCGCGTGCCTGTAATCCCAGCTACTCATGGAGGCTGATGCAAGAGAATTGCTTGAACCTAGGAGGCAGAGGTAGCAGTGAGCCAAGATCACGCCATTGCACTCCAGCCTGGGCAACAGAGCAAAACTCCATCTCGAGGACAGAAAAAAAATTGATTGCTCTGGCTCTACTGATACAATCTTAGGCTGCTTAATGGGATCTTAGTTGAATAGGATGCTGTACATCTTACAGGTATTGGAAGGTTGAATGAAACCAAGCCCATGCATTCAATAGTGGCTGCTATCATTACTAACCGTTGCAATTACCCTCTTTTCTTTTTGCCTGAGAATAATGGGATGCAGGGTGAGGGGGAATATTGGGTGAATTAAAGATTTGGGTCACTAATTTCTTTCTTTTTTTCTCAAGATATAGTCTTGCTCTGTCTCCTAGGCTGGAGTGCAGTGCCACAATCTTGGTTCACTGCAACCTCTGCCTCCCGGGTTCAAGTGATTCTTCTCCGTCAACCTCCCAAGTAGCTGGGATTACAGGCACCCACCTGTATTTTTGTATTTCTAGTATTTTGTATTTCTAGTAGAGACAGGGTTACGCCATGCTGGTGGCCAGGGTGGTCTCAAACTCCTGACCTCGGGCAATCCACCACACCCAGCTAATTTTTGGTATATTTAGTAGAGCCGGGGTTTCACCGTGTTGGCTGGGCTGGTCTCGAACTCCTGACCTCAAGTGACATCCATCTTCCAAAATGCTGGGATTACAGCCATGTGCCACCACGCCCAGCTAATTCTTGTATTTTTAGGAGAAATGGGGTTTCATCATGTTGTTCCGGCTGGTCTTAAACTCCTGGCCTCATGATCCACCTGCCTTGGCCTGCCAAAGTCCTGGGATTACAGGCATGAGCCACTGTGCCCAGCCACTCATTTCTTATGAATTTATTCTAACACATTTTCCGGATGAACAGGGCACCTTGAAACATAGGTTAGTGGGCTGGGTATGGTGGCTCCTGCCTGTAATCCCAGTACTTTGGGAGGCCTAGGCTGGTGTATCGCTTGAAGTCAGGAGTTTTTTGTTTTGAGACGGAGTCTTGCTCTGTCGCCCAGGCTAGAGTGCAGTGGAGTGATCTCGGCTTACTGCAACCTCCGCCTCCTGGGTTCAAGTGATTCTCTTGCCTCAGCCTCCTGAGTAGCTGGGACTACAGGCACGTGTCGCCACGCCCATCTAACTTTTGTATGTTTAGTAGAGCCGGGGTTTCACCATGTTGGCCAGGATGGTCTCAAACTCCTGACCTCCTGATCTGCCCACCTCGGCCTCCCAAAGTGCTGGGATTACAGGCATGAGCCATTGCCCCGGCCAAAGTTAGGAGTTTGAGACCAGCCTGGCCAACATGGTAAAACCCCATCTCTACTAAAAAATACAAAAATTAGCCAGGCAAGATGGCATTTGCCTGTAATCCCAGCTACTCAGGAGGCTGAGGCGGGAGAATCTCTTGAATCTGGGAGGCAGAGGTTGCTGTGAGCTGAGATCGCGCCACTACACTCCAGCCAGGGCGACAGAGCATAAATAACTCCCTTTCAAAAAACCAAACAATGAAACATAGGTTAGCGGAGTCTGCATCCAACATTAGAGTCAGATTGACTAAGTTCTGTATTTCCAGCTGATTCCTGGGCGATGTTGGTGCCACTGGTCTGACCACCCTTTGACAACTGCTGCTCCAGATAATTCAAGTCGGGGTATAACACAACCAGTGAGATGTAAACCAAAGACGATTCCACGGTTAGATTCTCAAGAATGACTTGTTCTGCCGGGCGCGGTGGCTCACGCCTGTCATCCCAGCACTCTGGGAGGCCGAGGTGGGCAGATCACCTGAGATTGGGAGTTTGAGACCAGCCTGACCAACATGGAGAGACCCCCACCTCTACTGAAAATACAAAATTAGCTGGGCATGTTGGTGCATGGTGCATGCCTGCAGTCCCAGCTACTCGGGAGGCTGAGGCAGGAGAATCACTTGAACCCAGGAGGCGGAGGTTGCTGTGAGCCGAGATTGCGCCACCTGGGCAACAAGAGTGAGACTCAGTCTCAAAAAAAAAAAAAAAATGACGTGGTCCTATTTCTCCCACAGGTTGGTGTCTTGTTCCGCTACCACTCAGCAGTGGGCTGATCTCTCCTTGGCCCTTGAAGTCAACCAGTCCCTGACGTGCGTAAACCTCTCCGACAATGAGCTTCTGGATGAGGGTGCTAAGTTGCTGTACACAACTTTGAGACACCCCAAGTGCTTTCTGCAGAGGTTGTCGTAAGTCTCTCCTCTCTTACAGAGCAGCTGTGCTTTCGATCTGGGGCCACAGACGAGCAATGGTCATGCCTGACTTGGCTGTATGGAACCTCTCGCTGATGTGAACACCTGTTCCCATGTTTAGATCCAGGCCGATGGCCTGTGAATTTTGTTCTTCTCTCATTCCTATTCCTTCATAGGATCACCAGTGCATGATAGAAGGTGGGGAGTTCACAAGAAGGGGCTTTTGGATGCTGGCACTTGTGGAGCTAGCCGGGAAGGTTGAAGTTGGACCTGTCAACCGTGTTGCCATTTGTGATTCTTTTGTAGGTTGGAAAACTGTCACCTTACAGAAGCCAATTGCAAGGACCTTGCTGCTGTGTTGGTTGTCAGCCGGGAGCTGACACACCTGTGCTTGGCCAAGAACCCCATTGGGAATACAGGGGTGAAGTTTCTGTGTGAGGGCTTGAGGTACCCCGAGTGTAAACTGCAGACCTTGGTGTAAGTCCGTGCTGGCTGCCTGTGTGCGTGGGTGTATATGCACACGCCCCCCACCTCCGGGTTTGAGTAGGGTGGTTATGAGAACACTTAATTCCTCTAAAAGTTCCAAGCATGATGCTAATGACAACTGGTAAGACCTGGGTAGATGATGGTAGGAAAAAAGTATAAGTAGTAGTAGAGTAGTAGTAATATTCTATAGGGATTTGGGGAATGTAGCTGGTTTTCGGGTTTTTTTTTTCCTCTTTATGTATGTATGTATTTTAGAGATGGGATCTCGCCGTGTTGCCTAGGCTGGTCTCAAACTCCTGAGCTCAAGAGATCTGCCTGCCTTGGCCTCCCAAAGTGCTAGAATTACAGGCATGAGCCATGTCACCCCATGCTGTGTTTTCTCTTAATCTGTGTTCTTAGAACTATAACTGTAACATAAATTGCATGCAATTGGTTGTAAATGGAATTCATTTACTTATTTTTTAATGAATGATTTGCAAATCAGGTAGTCTTCTGGGCCAGTGTACGCTCAGACTCCCAATGGAAGCTATTGGAAGCTACATGCTCAATGTGATCCTCCTTTTAATACTAAAATCACAGGACACGTGGCCTGGCATAGTGGCTCACGCCTATAATCCCATCACCTTGGGAGGCCGAAGCAAGGCAGATCCCTTGAGGGCAGGAGTTCAAGACCAGCCTGCCCAACATGGTGAAACATTGTCTCTCTACTAAAAATACAAAAATTAGTCACGCATGGTGGGACATGCCTGTAATCCCAGTTACTCAGGAGGCTAAGGCAGGAGAATCACTTGAACTTCGGAGGTGGAGGTTGCAGTGAGCTGAGATGGCACCACTGAAGTCCAGTCTGGCCAATAGAGCAAGACTCTCTCAAAAAAAAAAAATTATAGGACAAATCTTTAGAAAGGAATTGGGGCCTGGCATGGTGGCTCATGCCTGTAATCTCAGCACTTTAGGAGGCGGGCAGAACACCTGAGGTCAGGAGTTTGAGACCAGCCTGGCTGATGCAGTGAAACCCTGTCTCTACTAAAAATACAAAAATTAGCTAGGCGTGGTGGTATGGTCCTGTAATCCCAGCTACTTGGGAGGCTGAGGCAGGAGAATCGCTTGAAGTCGGGAGGTTGCAGTGAGCCGAGATCGTGCCAGCCTGGGTGACAGAACGAGATTGTCTCAAAAAAAAAAAAAAATTGTATCTGCACTGATGGTTTCTGTTCAGAGATTCGATTTTATGTTAACATCTCTGGTATTTTTTTTTTTTTTTTTTAAGATGGAGTTTTACTCTTGCCCACGCTGGCAATGGCATGATCTAGGCTCACTGCAACCTCCGGCTTCAAGGAGGTTGATTCTCCTGCCTCAGCCTCCTGAGTAGCTGGGATTACAGGCACTCACCACCACGCCGGGCTAATTTTTATATTTTTAGTAGAGATGGGATTTCACCATGTTGGCCAGGTTGGTCTCGAACTGACCTCATGATCCGCCCGCCTCAGCCTTCCAAAGTGCTAGGATTTACAGGCATGAGCCACTGCGTCCAGCCATACATATCTCTGGTATTCTTTGTCTCTAACATCACCTCCAACAGTTAGGAACTGTCCTCTTCCTATGAAGTAACTAATCTAGGATATGTACCTGGCATCTGAAAACTACCCACTTAAATTTAATGACATATTCAGTTCATGGCTGGAGACGATGAGTAGAAGGAAAGGATTCTTCCCACACCCACTATATCTAGGCCCTGAAACATTAAAAAAGAAGTCCCACAAGCAGTGAGATGTCACCGACTCACTAACTGTATCTTCAAATGAATGTCTAGTTTTTTTGGTTGTGTGTGTGTGTGGTGTGTGGTGTGTGTGGTATTTTTTTGGGGGGGGGGGGGTTTTCTTTTTTTTTTTTTTTTGGTTTTTTTTTTTTGATAGTCTTGCTCTGTCGCCCAGGCTGGAATGCAGTGGCTCCATCTCAGCTCACTGCAACCTCCACCTCCTGAGTTCAGGTGTGATTCTCCTGCCTCAGCCTCCCAGGGATTAAGGTGCATGCCACCACGCCCAGCTAACTTCTTTATTTTTAGTAGAGACGAGTTTTCACCATGTTGGTCAAGCTGGTCTCGAATTCCTGACCTCAGGTGATCCACCCACCTCAGCCTCCCAAAGTGCTGGGATTACAGGTGTGAGCCACCGTGCCGGCCCCCTCAATTCAACTTTTTGATCCATGCCCCTATTTTGCTAAGTTGTCAACTTCCCTTTAGTCTTATGTGGGTTTTCCTCCATTACAGTCATGGAAGTTTCTAGAAGGCCGGGTAGGGTCTTTGAGAGGCCGAGGCAGGTGGATCATGAGGTCAGGAGTTCAAGACCAGCCTGGCCAACATGGTGAAACCCTGTCTTTACTAAAAATACAAAAATTAGCCAGGCGTGGTGTCGGAGCCTGTAATCCCAGCTTACTTGGGAGGGTGAGGCAGAGAATTGCTTGAACCTGGGAGGCGGAAGTTGCAGTGAGCTGAGATTGTGCCACTGTACTCCAGCCTGGGTGTCAGAGCGAGACTGTCTCAAAAAAAAAAAAAAAAAAGTTTCTATACATTCATAAAGTTTCAAGATTTGGGGGTGTGTTTTCACTTCTCCATCGTCATGGACTCCAATCTGCCATCTATTTCCAAGGCCCTTCCAGGTCCTGTGTCCCTCAGCTAGTGGTATGCTTCACTTGGGACCCAGAGATACATGGGCATTATAGTTCAAATTATAATTAAGTTTAGAACTCTATTGAGACAGAAGAAAGAAAACAGAGCTAAGGTGAAATATCTCTGATAATCTGTGTTGGTTAATATCTAGGATCCTAGTACCAGATATGTTGGAGTGTGAGCTGGTGTCTTCTGCCTGTAAGACACTACCTCTCTAGCAACTGAATTTAGCAAATACAATCGTAATCCCAGCATGTTAGGGAGGCCAGGGTGGGCAGATCATCTGAGGTCGGGAGTTCAAGACCAGCCTGGCCAACATGGGGAAACCCTGTCTCTACTAAAAATACAAAACTTAGCTGGGTGTGGTGGCACGCGCATGTGTGTACACACACACACCCCCCTGTAATCCCAGCTACTCGGAAGGCTGGGGCACAAGAATCGCGTGAAACCAGGAGGCGGAGGTTGAAGTGAGCCACCGTGCCAGCTGAGAATCCTTTTTACTTCTCCAACTTCTGTTGGCCACCTGCATTCCTTGGCTTGTGGCCCTTCCTCCAACTTCGGCAGAGCATCTTCAAACGTTGCCCTGGCTCCCTTATCACGTCACCTCCTGCTGGCTTTGACTCTCAGCTCCCTCTTATGAGGATCCCTGTGATTGCTGGACCTACCCAAATAAACCAGGATATAAACCATCTTAAGATGCTCAGTCACCTCTACGAGGTCCCTTTTGCTCGCAGGTGCCAGGAGTTGGGACTTGGACATCTTTAGGGGAGGCCATTCTTCTGTCCACCACACCACCCCATGATTCCATTTCCATGTCACCACTGTCTCTAAGTGTGTCTAACCCACGGCTCAAGAGTCAAAGGTGCATCACAGCAGTGAGAACTCACAGGTTCGGGTTTGCTTTCTTCCTGTGGTTGATTTCTAGGCTTTGGAACTGCGACATAACTAGCGATGGCTGCTGCGATCTCACAAAGCTTCTCCAAGAAAAATCAAGCCTGTTGTGTTTGGATCTGGGGCTGAATCACATAGGAGTTAAGGGAATGAAGTTCCTGTGTGAGGCTTTGAGGAAACCACTGTGCAACTTGAGATGTCTGTGGTGAGTTAACTTATAAGTTCAACTTCCTATACTTACACCTTACTGAATCTGTGGCTAGTGTAAAATAATCAGTGAAGCCGACTTCCCAAGTTATATAATTGAGAGGACCTTTATAGAGTCGATCGAGCATTTACTAGGATGGTTAAAGGAATAAGTTCTAGTCTATGTCTAAGTTTTTGTTTTTTTTTTTCTTGAAGTTTTGCTCTTGTCACATAGGCTGGAGTGCAGTGGCGTGATCTTGGCTCACTGCAACCTCCGCCTCCCAGGTTCAAGCAATTCTCTTGCTTCAGCTTCCCGAGTAGCTGGGATTACAGGCGCCCGCCACCATGCCCAGCTAATTCTTGTATTTTTAGTAGAGACAGGGTTTCGCCATGTTGAAGGTTCATCTCAAACTCCTGACCTCAGGTGATCCGCCCATCTCGGCCTCCCAAAGTGCTGGGATTACAGGCGTGAGCCACTGCGCCAGGCCCTATGTCTAAGTTCTAGTCTGTGTCATGCAAAGAACACCTGTGAAATTTTAAGGATACAGTGCCTCAAGCCATTCAGCCAAAAGCCACTGCCCAGCACCCCACATTCAGAGAGGTGGGAATTGGGCCAGGCACAGTGGCTCATACCTGTAATCCCAGCACTTCGGGAGGCCGAAGCGGGCGGATCACTTAAGGTCAGGAGCTCAAGACCAGCCTGGCCAACTTGAAACTCCATCTCTACTAAAATATAAAAATTAGCCGAGCATAGTAGTGGGTGCCTCTTTTTTTTTTTTTTTTTTTTTTGAGATAGTTTCACTCTTGTTGCCCAGGCTGTAGTGTAATGGCGCGATCTCAGCTCACTGCAACCTCCACCTCCTGGGTTCAAGTGATTCTCCTGCCTTAGCCTCCCACATAGCTGCAAATAAACAGGCATGTGCCACCATGCCTGGCTAATTTTGTATTTTTAGTATAGACGGGGTTTCTCCATGTTGGTCAGGCTGGTCTCGACCTCCGGACCTCAGGTGAGAGCCACCGTGCCCAGCCAGTAGGTGCCTTTAATCCCAGCTACTTGGGAGGCTGAGGCAGGAGAATCACTTGAACCCTGGAGGCAGAGGTTGCAGTGAGCTGAGATCCTGTCACTACACTCCATCCTGGGCTACAAGAGCAAGACTCCATCTCAGGAAAAAATAAAAAAGAGGTAGGAATTAGATATCGTGCCAGAAAATGCTGGCTCTATCAGCAGGTGAGTGGTCTCAACTTGGCTATCTTACAAATACCTTGTGAGTTAGCTACAATCAGATGCACTTGAACCTGGAATCCTATCTGGGAGGCAATCTTAAAAGAATTTGACTCGGGATGGGCAAGGTGGCTCATGCCTGTAATCCTGGCATTTTGGGAGTCCAAGGCAGGTAGATTGCTTGAGGCCAAGAATTTAAAAACAGCCTGGCCAACACAATGAAGCCCTGTCTCTACTGAAAGTACAAAAATCCGCTGAGCATGGCTGTGTACCTCTGCTCCCAGTTACTCAGGAGGCTGAGGTGGGAGGATCACTTGAGCCTGGGAGGAAGAAGTTACAGCGAATTGAGATCACGTCACCTCACTCCAGCCTGGGTGACAGTGAGATCCTGTCTCAAAAAAAAAAAAAAAACAAAAAAAACAAAGGCGCCTTTTTAATCACTCACTGACACGTGTAGAGGAGCAAAAAGTTTGAGTTGCTGGTTGGCCCAGGAGGTCAAGGCTGCAGTGAGCCAAGATGGCGTTACCACACTCCAGCCTGGGCAACCGAGTGAGACCGTGTTTCAAAAAATAAAGTGGCAGGGTGCAGTGGCTCATGCCTGTAATTCCAGCACTTTGGGAGGCCGAGGCAGGTGGATCACCTAAGGTCAGGAGTTCGTAGACCAGCCTGTCTCTACTAAAGAGACAGGTGAAACCCTGTCTCTCTAAAACCACAAAAATCAGGCAGGCATGGTGGCACATAGCTATAATCTCATCTACTTGGAGGCACGAGAACTGCTTGAATCCAGGAGGCAGAGGCTACAGTGAGCCGAGATCATGCCACAGCACTCCAGCCCTGGCGAGAGAGCAAGACTGTCTCAAAGAATAACTTCAAAGATGGAAGTTATTTAACCTCTCTGCTCAAAAGCCTCAGTGCTTCCCTATGTCAATCCAGGTAAAATCCTATATTGACGATGGCTTCAGGGTCTTCTGTGAGCTGGCCACTGCTTACCTATGACCTCATCTTGACAATCCTCCCTGTCTCACTCATGCCCGCTGCCTGGATGTTCTATTTTACGTGTCAGTCACATGTATCTTCAGGGCCTCTGCACAAGCTATTTCTCTGCCTGGAGAACTCCCCCCCGAGCTCTATGACTCGGTCTCTTCACCCCCTCACCTCCAACCATTGTAGCCAGAACCCCCAGTTATTCCCTGTACCCCTTGCCCTTCAGAACCCCTCATCGCCTCCATATTTTCCTGTTAGCAGATGAGCCCTGAGGGCGGAGACGTTTTGTTTGTTTTTTGAGACCGGAGTCTCACTCTGTCACCCAGGCTGGAGTGCAATGGCGCGATCTCGGCTCACTGCAACCTCCGCCTCCTGGGTTCAAGCGATTCTCCTGCCCCAGCCTCCTGAGTAGCTGGGATTACAGGTGCCTGTCACCACGCCCAGCTAACTTCTGTATATTTAGTAGAGACACGGTTTTACCATGTTAGGTTGGTCTTGAACTCCTTGACCTCAGGTGATCCATCCACCTCGGCCTCCCAAAGTGCTGGGATTACAGGCGTGAACCACCGTGCCCGGCCTGAGACTTCTGTTGGTCATGCAGATCCCCAACACACGAGGGTGGGCTTGGCTTGCCGGAGGGCATCGATCAGCACTGGCTGCATTAACGTGTTGATTTCTGTGTTTCCCCAGGTTGTGGGGATGTTCCATCCCTCCGTTCAGTTGTGAAGACCTCTGCTCTGCCCTCAGCTGCAACCAGAGCCTCGTCACTCTGGACCTGGGTCAGAATCCCTTGGGGTCTAGTGGAGTGAAGATGCTGTTTGAAACCTTGACATGTTCCAGTGGCACCCTCCGGACACTCAGGTATGATCCATTTACTTCCCCATCAGGCTTTCTCCAGAGTGGTAGGTTTAGGGGAAGCATAATGACATGGACCTGCTGTAGGAGACTGATCTGGTAGCTGGATTACAGGTTCCCGCCATCACACCCAGCCAATTTCTGTATTTCACTTGGAGAAACGGGGTTTCACCATGTTGGTCAGGCTGGTCTCAAACTCCTGACCTCAGGTGATCCGCCCGCCTCGGCCTCCCAAAGTGCTGGGATTACAGGCGTGAGCAACCGCACCCGGCCACCTTTTTTTTTTTTTTCCTTTGAGGCAAGAACTCACTATGTTCCCCAGGCTGGAGTCCAGCAGCACAATGATGGCTCGCTGCAGGCTCGCTCCAGCTCCTGGGCTCAAGCAATCCTGCCTCAGTTCCTGAGTAGGTAGGTTTATAAGCATGAACCATTGCACCCAGCCACGGCTGCCGTCTACCTGCTCATGATAGCCATTTGTCACTGGGCTGTGTTTTGTTTGTTGCATTTTGTCAGGGTTTTGGGGTTTTGTTTTGTTTTTTCTTTCTTTTTTTTTTTTTTTTTCTGAGATGGAGTCTCACTCTGTTGCCCAGGCTGGGGTGCAGTGGTTGCTAACTGCAACCTCCACCTCCCAGGTTCCAGCTATTCTCATGCTTCAGCCTCCCAAGTAGCTGGGATTACAGGCATGCACCACCACACCTAGGTAATTTTTGTATTTTTAGTAGAGACAGGGTTTTGCCATGTTGGCCAGGGTGGTCTCAAACTCCTGACCTCCGTGATTTGCCCACCTCAGCATCCCAAAGTGCTGGGATTACAGGCATGAGCCACCGCACCCGGCCTGAGTTGTATTTTGATACCATGGCATCAAAGAACCAAGAAGCCCCTTCCTAGGAATGTGGGAACTTCAGAAATTCTCACAAGCAATATACTCTACTGCTGGCTTAAAATAATCTTTATGTAGAAGAAACATAGATTACTTGTTTATTTAACATGAAACTCAGCCTAAGATACTTTGTAAGTCAAAAGACATATGGACACTAAGGGTTTTTTTAAGCTTTAAGTTTGTTTGTTTGTTTATTTATTATTTATTTTGGAGACAGTTTTACTCTTTTTTTTGGGGTGCATCTTTTTTCTTTTTTTTTTTTTTTTTTCCTTTTTTTTTTTTTTTTTTTTTATTGATCATTCTTGGGTGTTTCTCACAGAGGGGGATTTGGCAGGGTCATAGGACAATAGTGGAGGGAAGGTCAGCAGATAAACAAGTGAACAAAGGTCTCTGGTTTTCCTAGGCAGAGGACCCTGCGGCCTTCCGCAGCGTTTGTGTCCCTGGGTACTTGAGATTAGGGAGTGGTGATGACTCTTAACGAGCGTGCTGCCTTCAGGATCTGTTTAACAAAGCATATCTTGCACCGCCCTTAATCCGTTTAACTCTGAGTGGACACAGCACATG
Source organism: Homo sapiens (assembly GCF_000001405.40). Classification (NCBI taxonomy): domain Eukaryota; kingdom Metazoa; phylum Chordata; class Mammalia; order Primates; family Hominidae; genus Homo; species Homo sapiens. Next base: position 711,087 of record NW_003571061.2, read on the forward strand.
TTTCAGAGAGCACGGGGTTGGGGGTAAGGTCACAGATCAACAGGATCCCAAGGCAGAAGAATTTTTCTTAGTACAGAACAAAATGGGGGGCTGACCCCCCCACCTCCCTCCCGGACAGGGCGGCTGGCCGGTTAGAGGGGCTCCTCACTTCCCATTAGGGGCGGCCGGGCAGAGGCGCCCCTCACCTCCCGGACAGGGCGGCTGGCTGGGCGGGGGGCTGACCCCCCCACCTCCCCGCCCGGCCAGAGTTTTACTCTTGTTGTCCAGCCTGGAGCGCAATGGCGCTATCTCGGCTTACTGCAACCTCCGCCTCCCGGGTTCAAGAGGTTCTCCTCCCTCAGCCTCCCAAGTAGCTGGGACTACAGGCATGTGCCACCACACCTGGCTAATCTTGTATTTTTAATAGAGACAGGGTTTCTCCATATTGGTCAGGCTGGTCTCGAACTCCTGACTTCAGGTGACCCGCCTGCCTCAGCCTCCCAAAGTGCTAAGATTACAGGCGTGAGCCACCATGCCTGGCCTGCATCTCCTCTGTTTAACTGGTACTCCGGGGTCCACTGAGTAGAAGTTGCCAAAGTGGGTGATAGAGCGGGTAAGCAGGTATTAGAGCTATAGCCCAGCTGTACTCAGCAATTCCATTTTCTGTGTATGATAATCAACAAGCATCTCAAACTGCACAATGGCTATATACCATTACAAGGTTAACCTGATGTTATGTTTTTCTCTATCAGATCAACATGGTTGAGAATAAGAGGAATGAAAAAAAGGATTAAAAAGAGAAATGAAAGTCTTTAATATTACATTTTATTATTTACTTCATTTATTTTTTAGACAAAAATCTCACTCTATTGCTCAGGCTGGAGTGCAGGGGCCCGATCTCAGCTCACTGTAACCTCCGCCTCCCAGGTTCAAGTGATTCTCCTGTGTCAGCTTCCTGAGTAGCTGGGATTATAGGGATGCACCATCACACCCAACTAACTTTTATATTTTTAGTAGAGATGGACTTTCACCATCTTGCCTAGGCTGGTCTCAAACTCCTGACCTCAAGTGATCTGCCCACCTCACTCTCCCAAAGTGCTGGCATTACAGGCATGACCCACCACATCTGGCCTCATTTTATATTTAAAAATAAAAAATAAGCAAATCAAGCCAGGTACAGTTTAGGCAACATGGTAAAACCCCAACTCTACTAAAAATACAAAAATTAGCTGAGCATGGTGGCAGGTGCCTGTAGTCCCAGCTACTCGGGAGGCAGAGGATAGGATGGCTTGAACCCAAGAGGCACAGGTTGCAGTGAGCTGAGATGGTACCACTGCACTCCAGCTTGGGCAACAGAGAGACTGTCTTTTTTTTTTTTTTTTTTTTTTTTTTTTTTTTTTTTTTTGAGATCGCCCAGGCTGGAGTACAGTGGCACGATCTCGGCTCACTGCAAGCTCCGCCTCCCGGGTTCACACCATTCTCCTGCCTCAGCCTCCTGAGTAGCTGGGACTACAGGCGTCCGCCACCACGCCCGGCTAATTTTTTGTATTTTTTTAGTAGAGACAGGGTTTCACCGTGTTAGCCAGGATGGTCTTGATCTGCTGACCTCGTGATCCACCCGCCTCAGCCTCCTAAAGTGCTGGGAATTACAGGCGTGAGCCATCACGCCCCACCTGAGACTGTCTTTTAAAAAAAAAAAAAAAAAATCAATGTGGAACACTCCTTTGCCACCTAGAATAATCAGGAAAGGTGACCCATGCCCTGTGCCTCCTTAACAGACTTTCAGGTACTTGGGAATTTGAAACAAATCTCCTTGATGCACAAAGTAACCTTTTCTTCCCCCATTGTACCCCAGGTTGAAAATCGATGACTTTAATGATGAACTCAATAAGCTGCTGGAAGAAATAGAAGAAAAAAACCCACAACTGATTATTGATACTGAGAAACATCATCCCTGGGCAGAAAGGCCTTCTTCTCATGACTTCATGATCTGAATCCCCCCGAGTCATTCATTCTCCATGAAGTCATCGATTTTCCAGGTGTTGGTGAACTGCCTGTGACTCCTCTCCTCCCCGGCCCCTACCCCTCAGGGATAATGAGTTCATTGCTGGGCTAGATGTTTTAGCCATGATTCTGCCTCTGTTTTATACCTGCACACATCCTTATCTTTGTTACATATGAAATATCTGTATCACGGGTATATTGAGAGAAATAAAGGTGAGAGCATTCACAAATGAAGCTGTTACTTAATAATGGGCTTTGACAAGTTAGAGAAAAGATATCTTACTGGGTAGAACCTGGGGGGTGGGGGAAGTGACAGTGTTTAATTGCATTGATTTCTATTGCCTTGTCAATCTTTGCCTTGCCTTGGTATTTCCTTTCTTTTTTCTTTTCTTTTTTTTTTTTTTTTTTTTTAGACTGAGTTTCACTCTGTTGCCCACGCTGGAGTACACTGGCACGATCTCAGCTTACTACAACCTGGCAGGTTCAAGCGATTCTCCTGTCTCAGCCTCCTGAGTAGCTGGGATTACAAGCATCCCCCACCACACCCGGCTAAATTTTTTTGTATTTTTAATAGAGATGAGGTTTCACCATGTTGGCCAGTCTGGTCTCAAACTCCTGACCTCAAGTGATCCACCCACCTCAGCCTCCCAGAGTGCTGGGATTACAGGCATGAGCCACTGTACCCGGCTTTTTTTTTTTTCTTTTTCTTTTTCCTCAAGCATGAGTGTTGCTCTGTTGCCCAGGCTGGAATACAGCAGCATGATGATAGCTCACTGCAGCCTCAAGCTCCCAGGTTCAAGCGATCCTCCAGCCTCAGCCTCCTCAGTAGCTGGGACTACAGGTGCACACCACCAAACCAGGCCAATTTTTGTGGGATTTTTTTTGAAGACAGGGTCTCACTATGTTGCCCAGGCTGATCTCAAACTCCCAGGCGCAAGTAATATTCCTGCCTCAGCCTCCCAAAGTGCTAGGATTACAGGTGTGAACCACTGTGCCTAGCCTGTCTTGTTACTTGTTGACCTGCGTGGATCACTGCCTGCTGAGTATTACTTGCCAGAGGATTTCTCCTACCAATCTACAATATTTTAGGTGCTTCGGTGTAGCTCATATATGACCATGTCATTGCTCTGATTTTGCTTTTTAAAAATTCTAACTTAAAATAGAATCTCGGCCAGGCACGGTGGCTCACACCTGTAATCCCAGCACTTCGGGAGGCTGAGGTGGGTGGATCACGAAGTCAGGAGTTGGAGACCAACCTGGCCAACGTGGTGAAACCCCGTCTCTACTAAAAATATAAAAAATTAGCCAGGCATGGTGGCACATGCCTGTAATCCCAGCTACTTGGGAGGCTGAGGCAGGAGAATTGCTTAAACCCAGGAGGTGGATGTTGCACTGTGCTGAAGACTGCACTACTGCATTCCAGCTTGGGCAACAGAGTGACTCCTTCTCCAAAAAAAAACAAAATCTCATGGTATGCATAGTTTTTCACTATAGAGTCTCCATTATTTCCTTGTGATACAGAATTCCAAATTCAACAAAGCAGCAGTGCAAGCTCTACGCTGTAAAACCACAAACAAAACGAACTGTACTATAAAGACAACACTAGTTGGCAAAGTTGCTTCTCATGGGGAGACTTTGTTGCTGTCTGTGTTTACTGGATGAGCAAACAAATGGACGGTAAGGGGGAAAAAGAACAGTACAAATTTTTATTAAACACTAATCATGTTTTTTTTTGTTTGTTTTGAGACAGTTTCTTCTTGTTGCCCAGGCTGGAGTGCAATGGCACGATTTTGGCTCACTGCAACCTCCGCCTCCCCGGGTTCAAGCGATTCTCTTGCCTCGACCTACTGAGTAGCTGGGATTATAGGCATGTGCCACCAAGCCTGGCTAATTTTGAATTTTTAGCAGAGACGGGGTTTTTCCATGTTGGTCAGGCTGGTCTCGAACTCCCGACCTCAGGTGATCCACCAGCCTTGGTCTCCCAAAGTGCTGGGATTACAGGTATAAGTCACCGCACCTGGCAACATTTTTTTCTTTTTTTTTTTTTTTTTTTTTTTTTTTTTTGGTGGCAGAATCTTGCTCTTTCACCCAGGCTGGAATGCAATGGCACGATCTCGGGTCACTGCAGCCTCCACCTCCCCAGTTTAAGCAGTTCTCCCATCTCAGCCTCCCATGTAGCTGGGACCACAGGTGTGCACCACTGCACCCAGGTAATTTTTGCATTTTTGGTAGAGATAGGGTTTTGCCACGTTGTCCAGACTGGTCTTGAACTCCTGAGCTCAGGTGATCTGCCCACCTTGGCCTCCCCAAATGCTGGGATTATAGGCATGAGCCACCACACCTGGTCAAAAGTAGTTTTAATATTTAAATTTAAAACTAAAAAAGTTAATCTCTCTTCCTACTTTCATTTCTTCATCAGGGGCTATTGGTTTATTCCCACCGACTAGATCCAAGTTCTCTGATACTACCTTTAAACCACTCCATCACTTTCCAGTTCCACTGCATACAGTGTGGGCTTCTGAGGTTTCCTGGTTCAAGGTGTCCTTGTTCAATGCGGCATGGGTCATTCCCTGAGCATTTTTTTTTTTTTTTGACAGTCTCGCTCCATTGCCCGGTTTGGAGTGCAGTGGTGTGACCTCGGCTTACTGCAGCCTCTGCCTCCCAAGTTCAAGCAATTCTGCCTCAGGCTCCCGGATAATTTTTGCATTTTTAGTAGAGACAGGGTTTCACCGCGCTGGCCAGGCTGGTCTCGAACCCCTAACCTCAAGCGATCTGCCTGCCTCGGTCTCCCAAAGTGCTGGGATTACAGACATAAGCTACCGTGCCCGGCCTCCAGAGCATCTTTATTCTCAGTTTCAGCGGGAAGAAGGGGGAAGGTTGGTAAAAAGAGAGGCACAAAGTTTAAAAAGGACATTGCGTGAAGAAACTAAAGGTTTCTCCTTCTCCACACTATTGACATTTGGGATCGGATCACTACTCGTTGGGAAACGTCCTGTACATTTCCAGGGTGTTCGGCACCATCCCTAGCCTCTACCCCCTAGATACCAGCTCACATCCTCACAGTTAACAGTGATCAAAAATGTCTCTGGGCAGTAGAAAATATTTCCTGAAATGCAAAGTTTTCTTAGGTTGAGAACCATTGTAATCTAGCCCCATCTTTAGAGAAGAAATTGAGTAACGGATCTACATCCATTGAGGAACTATCGACACCCCAGGGGCCCATGAAATGTAAACTCGCACTCACAATTAACCATCTTTCTCCAACGTGTGTATTTCATGTAGCCACACTCTCAGATGCCCACCCCCATGACCTACAAGTCCTAAACAGGGAAACCTGTGGCACATGGGTTCATGTGTGTCTGAATCTATACGTTCAGAGATGAACAAGTACTGCTCTCCCTATACCTGTGACCACTCGCCTCCGCCCATCACTGAATTCTGAAAATGTGGCCTCAGGCTCACAGCAGCATTAGCACTTGCTTGCTCTGGATCTCATCACATTGATGATCAAGAACAAAGTATTCACTGGGTTCTCTGCTAAGGATACAAAAAAAACCATTCCACAATTCCACGGCCATGTTTGCACCCAGGAACCACGAGGGCTGGGTTAGCCCAGATGGTGGGCTTGGGAAATGTTCCTGGAGCAAAAAAAAGAGCCAGAAGTCATGAGAGCCTGACCCCCTCCCCCAACGCGCACACACACACACCACTCTCTACCTCCAAGCCTCATTTTCAGGCTTCTCAAAGCTAAGGTCACTCCCATGAGCTAAGCCGCGCTTTTCTCAATCCTCAGCTCTTCCACAAGAATAGGAAGAACTCTCTCCTGTTCAAGATCCTGTGGCTCAGCTGCAGCTCTGGAAGAAAGACCCCGGTGAGGGTCTTGCTTTTCACAATCCCCAATCCCAGACCACATCCTGTGCCCCAAAACAACTTCCATGGTAACCACATCCTTCAGGAAGTGAAGTCAGGCAGGAAGTCAAGTCAGAAGACGGAATGGGCTGGGCATGGTGGATCGCACCTGTAATCCCAGCACTTTGGGAGGCAGAGGCAGGTGGATCACATGAGGTCAGGAGTTTGAGACCAGCCTGGCCAACATGGTGAAACCCTGTCTCTACTAAAAATACCAAAAGTAGCCAGGCTTGGTGGTGCATGCCTGTAATCCCAGCTACTCTGGAGGCTGAGGCAGGAGAATCGCTTAAACCCGGAAGGCGGAGGTTGCAATGAGCCGAGATCGCACCATTGCACTCCAGCCCGGGGGACAGAAAAAAAAATGTAGCTGAGCATGGTAGTGCACGTCTGTGATCTCAGCTACTTGGGAGTCTGAGGCAGGAGAATCACTTGAACCCAGGCGGTGGAGGTTGCAGTGAGCCAAGATTGTAATAGTCCAATGTGTTCACCTTGCCCACTGCCTAGACAGAGCTGATTCGTCAAGACAGGGAATCGCAATAGAGAATAATTCATGCAGAGCTGGCTCTACGAGAGACCAGAGTTTTATTATTATTCAAATCAGTGTCTCCCAGCATTCAGGAAGCGTTTTTAAGGATAACTTGGTGGGTGGGTGGGAAGCCAGTGAGCCAGGAGTGCTGTTTGGTCAGGGATGAAATCGTGGGAGCCAAAGCTATCTTCTTGCACTCAGTTCCTGAGTGGAGGCCAAAAGATAAGATGGGCCAGTTTATTGATATGGGTGGTGCCAGCTGATCCATCAAGTACAGGGTCTGCAAGTTAAACGCTGATCTTAGAAGCAGTTTAGGGAGGGTCACAATCTTGTAGCCTCCAGCTGCATGACTCCTAAGTCATAATTTCTAATCTCGTGGCTAATGTTCGTCCTACAGGGCCAATCTAGTCCCCAGGCAACAAAGAGGTGTGCTTTGGAAAAGGGCTATCATCTTTGTTTAAACTATAAGTTTCTCCCAAAGTTCAGCCTATGCCCAGGAATGAAAAAGGACAGCTTGGAGGTTAGAAGCAAAATGGAGTCAGTTAAATCTCTTTCACTGTCTCAGTCATAATTTTGGAAAGGTGGTTTCAAGCTGGCACAACTGCACTCCACCCTAGGAGACAGAGCGAGACCCTGTCAAAAAAAAAAAAAAAAAACAAGAAGTGAAGTCAAGATAGGAGGTAAATTCGGAAGACAGGAAGTGGTGGTAGAAGACAAGAAGTGAAGTCATACAGGAAGTAAAGTCAGAAGACAGGAAGTGAAGTAAGAAGACAGGAAGTGGTTGTAGAAGACAGGAAGTGAGGTCATACAGGAAGTAAAATCAGAAGACAGGAAGTGACGTCAAACCAGGATTTGCAGTCGGAGGCAGGCAAGAAGTGAAATCAGAAGACGGGAAGTGGCTGAGGGGAACGTCTTTTCTCTCTCCTGCTCAGCCCGAAGTGAACAGGTAGCATCAGGTGTGCCATTTCAGTGACTGGGCACAGCCCAGGCACCCACATCTCTCTGCAGCGCCTATTCTTGGAACACCAGAGACCTCTACACTATTTTCTGTTGCTTTTTTCCTTCATTTTCAGAGATGAGATCCTGGATTGAATGACTACTATGGAAAGTGATTGACCAAGGTAAGTCACAACTATCTTGTTCTTTAATTTTGGTGTTGTTTGTTATGACTTGTTAGCCGTCTAGCACTCATAGCTTTGCATTTCCACTCTGCATTACTTGTATTTTTATTATTTTGTGATATTCGTAATAATTTATTATAAAACTGTGTTATTTTTGGATATTTTTAAGTTAAAATGCGATTTTTTAACTAAGTGGCAGTATGCAAAGCAAGTGGTTCAGAACTCTCCCCCATTAATAAGTCTTCTCTCCTGAAAGAAACAATTTTGAGACTTCCTGTTCTTAATTCTGTTTAACAGCATACTTCTAAAAGAAAAAGTGTATACTGTTATTATTTATTGTGTTACAAAAATATACACGCACCTTTCATGCACGTCCGTGTGAAGAGACCACCAAACAGGCTTTGTGTGAGCAATAAAGCTTTTAATCACCTGGGTGCAGGTGGGCTGAGTCTGACAAGAGAGTCAGCGAAGGGGGATAGGGGTGGGGCCGTTTTATAGGATGTGGGTAGGTAAAGGAAAATTACAGTCAAAGGGGGGTTGTTCTCTGGCGGGCAGAGTCGGGGTCATAAGGTGCTCAGTAGGGGAGCTTTTGAGCCAGGATGAGCCAGGAGAAGGAATTTCACAAGACAATGTCATCAGTTAAGGCAGGAACAGGCCATTTTCGCTTCTTTTGTGGTGGAATGTCATCAGTTAAGGCACGAACCGGCCATCTGGATGTGTACGTGCAGGTCACAGGGGATATGATGGCTTAGCTTGGGCTCAGAGGCCTGACATTCCTGTCTTCTTATATTAATAAGAAAAATAAAATGAAATAGGGGTAAAGTGTTGGGACAGCAAAAATTTTTGGGGGTGGTATGGAGAGATAATGGGTGATGTTTCTCAAGGCTGCTTTGAGCAGGATTAGGGGCGGCGTGGGAACCTAAAGTGGGAGCGATTAAGCTGAAGGAAGATTTTGTGGTAAGGGGTGACATTGTGGGATTGTTAAAAGAAACATTTGTCATTTAGAATTATTGGTGATGGCCTGGATACAGTTTTGTATGAATTGAAAAACTAAAGGGAATAAGGAAAGGAGAAAAACAGGTATTAAAGGTCTAAGAATTGGGACGACTCAGGACATCTAATTAGAAAGTGCCTAAGGAGGTTCAGCATAGCCTTGCCAGCAAAGATTATTTATTTATTTTAAGAGTTAACAGTGGCGGTATGGGGATAGTACCAGGAGATACCAGCTGTGCTGGCTTGGAGAAACAGTGTAAACTGGCAGTGTAAACAAGAGCAGGGCATGTGTGAGTAGTTGAGAACGGTGAATAGGAGTATGACTAGACAGAAGATAGTAGGGATGACAAGTTTTTTGGGGCACAATCTAAGTTGGTCTGGTGTCTGGAATGAGACTGGGGCCTAATAAAAAGGAGTGTCTACACAGGAGCTTAAATGGGCTGTATCTTGTAGCATTCCAAGGACAGGCCTGAATTCTGGAAGCGAAAATGGTAAAAGTATTGTCCAGTCCTTTTTAAGTTGGTGGCTGAGCTTGGTGAGGTGTGTTTTTAATAGACCATTAGTCTGTCACTGAATACTAAGAGCCTGAAAAAATGCTTGGCTGATTTGACTAATAAAGGCTGGTCTGTTAGCAGACTGTATAGAGGTGGGAAGGCTGAACTGAGGAATTTTGTCTGACAGAAGGGAATGACAAGGCTAAACTGAAGAATTATGTCTGACAGAAGGGAAGAAATGACTGCGGTGGCCTTCTCAGACCCTGTAGGAAAGGACTGTACTTACCCAGTGAAAGTGTCTACCTAGACTAAGAGGTATTTTAGTTATCTTACTCGGGGCATGTTGAGTAAAGCTAATTTGCCAGTCCTGGGCGGGGGCAAATCCTTGAGCTTGATGTGTAGGGAAGGGAGGGGGCCTGAATAATCCATGAGGAGTAGTAGAATAGCTGATGCAACACTGAGAAGTGATTTCTTTGAGGATAGATTTCCACAATGGAAAGGAAATGAGAGGTTCTAAGAGGCTGGCTAGTGGCTTGTACCATAGCATAGCCTGCCTTTGCTGGTGTGTGGCGATTAGGCCTGGTGGAACCGCCATCAATAAACTAAGTGTGATCAGGGTGAGAAACAGGGAAGAAGGAAATGTGGGGAAATGGGGTGAACGTCAGGTGGATCAGAGAGATGCAGTCATGGGGGTCAGGTGTGGTATCTGGAATAATGTGGGAGGCCAGATTGAAGTCCGGGCCAGGAACAATGGTAATTGTGGGACTTAACAAAGAGTGAGTACAGCTGAAGGAGCCAGGGAGCAGAAAGTATATGCATCAGGTGTGAGTAAGAAAATAGATTTTGGAAATTATGAGAGCTGTAGAGAGTGAGTTGAGCATAGTTTGTGATTTTGAGGGCCTCTAAAAGTATTAAAGCAGCGGCAGCCACAGCACGCAGATATGAGGGCTAGGCTAAAACAGTAAGGTCAAGTTGTTTGGACAGAAAGGCTACAGGGTGTGGTCCTGGCTCTTGTGTAAGAGTTCTGACCGCGCTAACCATGCCTAGGAAGGAAAGGAGTTGTTGTTTTGTAGAAGGTGCTGGGGCTTGAGAGATCAGTCAGACACGATCAGCAGGGAGAGCACGTGTGTTTTTATGAGAATTATGCCGAGATAGGTAACAGATGAGGATGAACTTTGGGCTTGACTGAAGTAATGGGGGCTGTCTGTGAAACCTTGCAGCAGTACAGCCCAGGTAATTTGCTGAGCCTAATGGGTGTCAGGGTCAGTCCAAGTGAAAGCGAAGAGAGGCTGGGACGAGGGGTGCAGGGGAATAGTGAAAAAAGCATCTTTAAGATCAAGCATGGAATAGTGAGTTGTGGAGGAAGGTATTGAGGACAAAAGAGTGTAGGGGTTGGGCACCACAGGGTGCATAGGCAAAACAATTTGATAAGGCGCAGATCCTGAACTAATCTGTAAGACTTTTCCGGTTTTTGGACAGGTAAAATGGGGGAATTGTAAGGAGAGTTTATAGGTTTTAGAAGCCCATGCTATAGCAGGCGAGTGATAACAGGCTTTAATCCTTTTAAAGTGTGCTGTGGGATGGGATATTGGCATTGAGCAGGGTAAGGGTGATTAGGTTTTAATGGGATGGTAACGGGTATGTGATCAGTTGCCAGGGAAGGAGTAGAGATGTCCCATACTTGTGGGTTAAGGTGGGGGAATAGGAGAGGAAGACGCGAAGGAGGCTTTGGGTTGAGGAGAAGGGTGGCAATGAGATGCGGCTGTAGTCCAGGAATAGTCAGGGAAGCAGATAATTTGGTTAAAATATCTCGGCCTAATAAGGGAACTGGGCAGGTGGGGATAACTAAAAAAGAGTGCATAAAAGAGTGTTGTCCAAGTTGGCACCAGAGTGGGGGAGTTTTCAGGGGTTTAGAAGCCTGGCCGTCAATACCCACAACAGTTATGGAGGCAAGAGAAACAGGCCCTTGAAAAGAAGGTAATGTGGAGTGGGTAGCCTCCGTATTGACTAAGGCGACGGACTTACCTTCCACCGTGAGTGTTACCCGAAGCTCGGCATCCGTGATGGTCTACAGAGCTTCCGAGGCGATTGGGCAGCATCAGTCTTCAGCCGCTAAGCCGAGAAGGAGTCAGAGAGCCTTGGGCCAGAGTTCCAGGGGCTCTGGGAGTGGCTGCCAGGTGAGTTGAACAGTCCGATTTCCAGTGGGGTCCCGCACAGATGGGACACGGCTTAGGAGGAATCCTGGGCTGCAGGCATTCCTTGGCCTGGTGGTCAGATTTCTGGCACTTGTAGCAAGCTCCTGGGGGAGGAGGTTCTGGAGGAACGCCTGGCCGCTGCGGTTCAGTTCCCTTCTTGTGTGCTGGAGATGTGGCTGGGGTTTGTCTCACAGTGGAGGCAAGGAATTGCAACTTTTTTCTATTATTGTACACCTTGAAGGCGAGGTTAATTAAATCCTGTTGTGGGGTTTGAGGGCCGGAATTTAATTTTTGGAGTTTTATTTAATGTCGGGAGCAGATTGGGTAATAAAATGTGTATTAAGAATAAGACGGCCTTTTGACTTTTAAGGGTCTAGGGCTGTAAAGCTTCTCAGGGTTGCTGGCGAACGAGCCATGAATTGGGCTGGATTTTTATATTTGATGAAAAAGAGCCTAAACACTATCTGATTTGGGATAAAGAAAAAGGAGCATTAACCTTGACTATGCCTTTAGCTCCAGCCACCTTTCTAAGAGTAAATTGCTGGGCAGGTGGAAGAGGGCTAGTCACTGAACGAAACTGTAAGCTGGACCAGGTGTGGGGAGGGGAGGTGATAAAAAGATAATACGGTGGAGGAGCGGAGGCTGAGGAAGAATTGGGACCTAGCTCAGCCTGGGGAGGAGGGAGAGGTCAGACGGGTCTGTAGAAAAGGAAGATTAGAAAGACTCAGCGACGCTTGGGGTTGAGACTGAGGGGACAGGCAGGAGGGAAAGAAGGAAGATTTGGGACGAGTTGCACTGGGCACAGAGACTAGGAAGGGACTGATGTGTAAAAGAATGCCTGGACGTCAGGCACCTCAGACCGTTTGCCCATTTTACGACAAGAATTATTTAGATCTTGCAGGATGGAAAAATTGAAAGTGCTGTTTTCTGGCTATTTGGAACTGCTGTCCAGTTTGTATTGGGGTCAAGCGGCATTGCAGAAGAAAATAAGGCATTTAGGTTTTAGGTCAGGTGTGAGTTGAAGAGGTTTTAAGTTTTTGAGAACACAGGCCAAGGGAGAGAAGGAGGAGGAATGGAGGGTGGAAGGTTGCCCATAGTGAAGGAGGCAAGCCTAGAGAAAAGAGAGAGTAGAGACACGGAGGGAAGGGGTTCGGGAGTTCTTACCTTCCAGAAAAGCGGGAAAGGGGTTGGGGCATGGATATAAGGGGTTGGGGCACAGAGATAAGAGGTTGGGGCATGGAAATAAGGGATCAGGGTGCAGAGATACGAGGTTGGGGTACTTGCCCCTCTAGAAAAGCGGGACTTGCCGCTAAGAGTGAAGGAGAAGGGGTTGGGGGTTTCTTGCCCCCCAGAAAGGTGGAGAAGGGGTAGAGACATGGAGAGGAGGGGTTGGGGAACTTGCCCCTTCCCCAGAAAAGTGGGACTTGCCACTAAGGGTGAAGGACCAAGGCAGGCATCCCTGCGTGATCTGACACCTCTGAAGCGTGGGTATATAATCAGAGAGGCGTCCCTGCAATGATTAAACGCCAAGGGAAGGCTGCCTTCCCTAGTCCGTGACCGGCGCCGGAGTTTTGGGTCCACAGATAAAACGTGTCTCCTTTGTCTCTACCAGAAAATGAAAGGAATTGAAATTAAGAGAAGGGAGAGATTGAAGAGTGGAAAGGAGAAAGTGGTTGAGGGACAGTGAGAGAGGTTGGAGAAGAGAGTAAGAAGAGGTCGCTTACCCAATTTAAACTTGGTGAGATGTTCCTTGGGCTGGTGGGTCTGAGGACCTGAGGTCGTAGGTGGATCTTTTTCACAGAGCAAAGAGCAAGACAGGGGATTGATCTCCCAAGGGAGGTCCCCCGATCCAAGTCACGGCACCAAATTTCATGTGCGTCCATGTGAAGAGACCACCAAACAGGCTTTGTGTGAGCAATAAAGCTTTTAATCACCTGGGTGCAGGTGGGCTGAGTCCGACAAGAGAGTCAGCGAAGGGGGATGGGGTGGGGCCGTTTTATAGGATTTGGGTAGGTAAAGGAAAATTACAGTCAAAGCGGGGTTGTTCTCTGGCGGGCAGAGTGGGGGTCACAAGGTGCTCTGTAGGGGAGCTTTTGAGCCAGGATGAGCCAGGAGAAGGAATTTCACAAGACAATGTCATCAGTTAAGGCAGTAACAGGCCATTTTCACTTCTTTTGTGGTGGAATGTCATCAGTTAAGGCAGGAACCAGCCATATGGATGTGTACGTGCAGGTCACAGGGGATATGATGGCTTAGCTTGGGCTCAGAGGCCTGACAGCACCTACCTAAAAAATTCCAATAGCACTAAAAGGGTGTGTACAAAATGCAGTGGCTGACTAACCATCTCCTCCATTGCTCCGCCTAAGAGACACCCACTTTTAGCTGTTTTCTTTAGGAACTTGTTAATATTAGGTTTCTAAAAACATGTAACCATGTGAATGAGCTTAGACTTACTGGATTCCTATCATAATAGGCGGGGCCTTAGTTATTCTACAGCGTTGTTCTTACTGTTTTTTCTCTTCCAATGTTTATCTCTATGTCTGCATATCAACATTCAGTATCACATTTTTTTTTTTTGAGACAGAGTCTCACTCTGTCACCCAGGCTGGAGTGCAGTGGCGCAATCTCAGCTCACTGCAGCCTCAGTCTCCTGAGTAGCTGGGACTACAGGCGTGTGCCACCACGACTGGCTAATTTTTGTATTTTTAGTAGAGACAGGGTTTCACCATGTTGGCTGAGCTGGTCTCGATCTCCTGACCTCGTGATCTGCCCACCTCAGCCTCCCGAAGTGCTGGGATTACAGGCATGAGCCACCACGCCCGGCCAGTATCACATGTTTATACCCACAGATATTCGCAGCCGAGAATTTTCGGGTAATATAACTTGCTTCTTTTATTTTTGTTGTTGTTATTGTTCCCCTAAAGTTTATATTTGTTTTTTATTTTTATTTTCTTTTGAGGCAGGGTCTCACTCTGTCACCCAGGTTTGACAGCAGTGGTGCAATCATGGCTCACTGCAGCCTCAACCTCCCCGGGCTCAGGTGATCCCCAACCTCAGCCTCCTGAGTACCTGAGAGTAGGCATGTGGTACCACACCCAGCTAATTTTTTATATTTTTTGTATATGAGACAAGGTTTCACCATGTTGCCCAGGCTGGTCTCGAACTCTTAGGCTCAAGCGATCCCGCCTCAGCCTCCCAAAGTGCTGGGATTACAGGTGTGAGCCACTGTGCCTAGGCTATACTGGTCTTTTTAAAATCTACTTAGTTTACTTGACCTCTAAAATTATTTTTCCTCTGTCTTCTGATAGCATCTCAGTATGATTTTCCACTATGTTAAGACGAGGAATTGACCCATTCTTACATTTGGAGGCTTCTCTAAGCAACTTTCCCATTCCCCCTTCACCCAAGCTGTGTGCTCACTAGCCCTGATTCACAGCCGTCGTCCTGGAACTTCTTGGTGCCATCCTTCTGTCTTTTCCCAAGTGACTCACCTACCTCAACCTCCCAAAGTGCCGGGATTACAGGCGTGAGCCACTGTGGCCAGCCATTCTTTTCCTTTTTTAAAACAATTTTTATCTTCTTTATTTTAAGTAGAGATGGGGTCTCACTATGTTGCCCAGGCTGGTCTTGAACTCCTGGGCTCAAGCGATCCTCCTGCCTTGGCCTCCCACAGTGCTAGGATTACAGACATGATCCACTGCACTTGGCCCAGTGGTACAGTTTTACACTCATTAGATGGTCAAGAAATGCCTAAACGCTATAATAAATATAGAACTTTACCTTGAGAAGACCTAACATTTCCTTCAGAAAGTAAATATGAGAGGGGTGGAGACGGTGCATTATCTTATTTTTATGATTTTAAAAATGTATACAGAATTGTACATATTTATGGGGTGGACAGCAATATTGCAGTACATGTATACAACGTGCTATGATCAAATCAGGGTAATTGACATATTCATCCCTGTATTTTTTGAGACAAAGTCAGGCTTCGTCACCCGAGCTAGAGTGCAGTGGTGTGATCTCAGCTCACTGCAACCTCTGCCTCCCAGGCTCAAGCCATTCTCCCACCTCAGCCCCCTGAGTTGCTGGGAGTATAGGGATGCACCACCACACCTGGCTAATTTTTGTGTTTTTTTGTTTTGTTGGTAGAGATGAGGTTTCACCATGTTGCACAGGCTGATCTTGTTTTCTAATGTGAAGGGAAGCGGGCAACGTGCTAGTTTTACACTAAGGAAAATGAATGACATACCCAAACTGCCTGCAAGACCCGTTCTGAGAGACGAAAGGAGATTTGTTAGACCGCAGTGGGAGATGGAGTGAGGGTGAGAGTTTCTGGGGAAAACCAGACAAGAGCACAGAGGGCCAAAGGGAAGCACGGGAGGATTTTGCACAGAGGATGGAACAGAGTCAACCCTGAGAGCTGGGAACCTTAGAGATCCGTCTGGAGCCCATATTAGAGAGGTTGAAGAAAGAGGCCAGTATGTGGTCCAGCCAGGGTACCATGTCATCCACAGTGTGCAGGGAGGAGGATGGGGTCTCCACAGATTCCTTCCATCCCAAATGGAGGGTGCCCTCAGACAGAGAGGCAGACAGACAGACAGACACTGGCCGAACGGCTCCCTGATGGAACACCAGGAGGAGGCAGCATGGCCTCGTTTCCACAGCTGTAGCCTCTGCCCTCCTGCTTCCACGCTCCACACACGCCAGTCTTTGAGTCGCCTCCCATGCCATGATCCCTCCCTTGGATACGACCGTGCCTGGGGTTCAGCGGTCATGAACATAACCCGCGGCTGTGAACATCCTGTCGGCCTCCATCCTGACCCCCGTTTGATTTCCGGGTCAGCGGGAGGGGCGGGAGGGGCGGAAGCGGCCTCTGCACAGCCCTGCCCCTGTGCCGCAGGCGCTTCCTCCGGCTGTGCCAGTCCTCTGCCAGAAACCCCGCCAGGATTATTAGGATCACAGCCCCGAGGCATATCCGGACCAGGTTGCCCTTGGTGTAGTACTGGCGGGCAGGACCTGGAGGAATGAGGAGAGGCAGGAGCAGGTGAAAGAGCCCACCTCCAGGACCCCCTCCAAGCCACATCTGGGCTTCTCAGAGATCCTATTATTCTCTACTAGCTAGGGGATGCCGCTCACTTTCCTGGAGGGTCCCTCCCTTCCCGAGTAGGGGTCAGGGCCAGATGACCCCAATTCTCTAAGTAGCACCTCTCCCTCCTGTGCTCTCACAGGGCTCTGAGACAACTCCTCCCCAGACACAGATGCTGCCTCGTTATCTGATGCATTGCAAAAGAGAGGACAGTTATAAGGGGTGGGGAAGAGATGGAATCTCTCTTTCTCTGACCCTTTTTAAAATCTCAACCTTCCCACCTGATCTTAATGCCCAATTCTGAACCCCATACGCTGATATTCTGCCTTTACTCTACACACTGGAACCCAAGATCTGAGAGCTGCAGCCCCTGCGTAGACAAAGGAGTTGGCTTTGGTGAAGAGACGGGTGAGAAGGAAGGGGGTCTGGAGAGGATGACTTACTCACCAGCTGGAGAGTCTGACTCCTTTGGACTGGCGGTGATACTCCTAGAAGTCTCTGGGAACCAAACAAAGGCTAAGTGTGAAATGAAACCATATTCCCGCCCCCTGTCACTGTGCCTACTCCGAACACACACACACATGGGGAGGCACAATTCCACAGCATTTAAGAAAAGCATGGGCCGGGCACGGTGCCTCATGCCTATAATCCCAGCACTTTGGGAGGCTGAGGTAGGAGGCTGGCTTGAGTCCAGGAGTTCAAGACCAACCTGAGCAACATAGAAAAACCCTATCTCTACAAAAAAATACAAAAATTAGCCAGGCGTGGTGGCACGTGCCAGTAATCCCAGCTACTCAGTGGAGGCTGAGGCAGGAAGATCACCTGAGCCCTGGGAGGTTGAGGCTGCAGTGAGCCAGGATTGTACCACTGCACTCTAGCCTGGGAAACAGAGCGAGACCCTGTCCAAAAAAAAAAAAGCAAGAACTGTAGAGTCAGGCTGTCCTCCAGATTTGAACCCCAACTCTATCACCTATTAGATGTCAGTTATCTGGCAAGTGACTCAGCATCTGTGAGCCAGTTCCCCATGTGTCCAATAAAATTAACAAGATCCCTTA
This sequence comes from Homo sapiens, assembly GCF_000001405.40. Classification (NCBI taxonomy): domain Eukaryota; kingdom Metazoa; phylum Chordata; class Mammalia; order Primates; family Hominidae; genus Homo; species Homo sapiens. The sequence continues at coordinate 728,452 of NW_003571061.2, forward strand.
TAGGTTGATGTGAAAGTCAAGATAATAATAATGGTAGAAATATAAAGCACCGTGCTTGACATATGAGCACCTCATACGTGCCAGCTTTTTTTTTTTTTTTTTTGAGACAGAGTCTGGCTCTGTCTCCCAGGCTGGAGTGCAGTGGCCCGATGTCGGCTCACTTCAACCTCCGCCTCCTGGGCTCAAGCGATTCTCCTGCCTCAGCCTCCCGAGTAGCTGGGACTACAGGCGTCCGCCACCACGCCCAGCTAAGTTTTGTATTTTTAGTAGAGATGGGATTTCACCATATTGGCCAGGTTGGTTTTGAACTCCTGACCTTGTGATCCGCCCGCCTAGGCCTCCCAAAGTGCTGGGATTACAGGCGTGAGCCACTGCACCCGGCCTCCAGCTCTCTTATTCCTCAAGTATCTCCTGAGACTCGCCAGGTACTCAGCCATGTGCTGGGCCATGGGAACCCAAATATTAATAAGACATTGTCAGGCCAGGCATGACACTGGCTGAATGCCTGTAATCCCAGCACTTTGGGAGGCCAAGGTGGGCGGATCACCTGAGGTCAAGAGATCGAGACCATCCTGGCCAACATGGTGAAACCCCGTCTTTACTAAAAATACAAAAAATAGCTGGGCATGGTGGCACACACCTGTAGTCCCAGCTACTCAGGAGCCGGAGATTGCAGTGAGCTGAGATCGCAGAGTGAGCCGAAATCACAGATCACAGAGTGAGCAGAGTGAGACTCCGTCTCAAAAACAACAACAAAAAACAAAAAAACCATAAGACATTGTCCATCTGCGGTTCCCAGACTATTGCAGGAGACCAAAAAGTAAAGCGATTTTTTTTTTTTTTTAATACGGAGTCTCACTCTGTTGCCCAGGCTGGAGTGCTGTGGTGTGATCTCAGGTCACTGCAACCTCCAACTCGTGAGTTCAAGCGATTCTCCTGCCTCAGCCTCCCAAGTAGCTGGAATTACAGGTGCCCACCACCACGCCCGGCTAATTTTTGTATTTTCAGTAGAGACGGGGTTTCAGCATGTTGGCCAGGCTGGTCTCCTGACCTCAGGTGATCCACTCACCTTGGCCTCCCAAAGTGCTGGGATTACAGACAAAGCGATAATTTTAATATACTGTAAAAATTGCTGTAATAGGCAGCCCACAAGACACTGAGCGAGAGCAGAGGAAACCATCGATCCAGCCTGGACGGTCAAGGCTTTCTTGAGGAATTGATGCCATGGGGAAATGGAAGAAAAGGCAGAGTGAGTGGGTTGGGTGCAGAGTCAGGAGAGGTTAGGAAGCCTCCAGGAGAGCTTCAAGTGACTGTGTGTGGCTGAGAACAGCATGGGAATGCGTGGAAGGTATGCAGACAAAATTGGAGGGATCAACAGGGGCTGGATATCTAAGCTCACAGAATAGCAAGCTGAGGAATTGGAACTGCATCCTGAGGGTGATTGGGAGGTTCCGAACTGAAGATAGGGAAGGCTTCCATCACAGAACTCCCTGGGATATGCCGGGCGCGGTGGCTCATGCCTCCAATCCCAGCACTTTGGGAGGCCGAGACAGGTGGATCATGAGGTCAGGAGTTCAAGACCAGCCTTCCCAAGATGCTGAAACCCCGTCTCTACTAAAATACAAAAATTAGCCAGGTGTGGTGGCATGCACCTATAATCCCAGCTACTCGGGAGGCTGAGGCAGGAGAATCGCTTGAACCCGGGCAGCAGAGGTTACAGTGAGCCGAGATCGCACCACTGCACTCCAGCCTGGGCGACAGAGCAAGACTCCACCTCAAAAAAATAAAAAATAGAACTACGTGGGATCAGGTGCCTCATGAAAGCCAGAGTCATGTGGGCCCAGTGGAAGTATCTAACCTATTATCAGGGAATCTGTGAAGGTGTTTAGTCTGGAAGGAAATGGAGATTTTCCAGGACAGGCAAGGGGAAAGAGACTGAGGAAAGCGTATCTGCAGAGGCCTGGAGCGGTTAGAAGATGTGCTGTGTCCAGGTGCCTACAGTCTGTGTGCGTCCGAGCATGGGCTCTACCTGGACACAGTGAGGAGCGAGATTAAATACCTGGATCACAGCCGAGTCCAAAGCCTAGGACTTCATCCTGGGAGCAGTGCGTAGGGATGGCGGTCGTCCCGCCACAGCCTTGGCTCCGCCATCTTTGAAATGGCCCCATCACCCAAAACGCTCCTCCTTCTGAACCCCAGAGCTCCACTCTGCACCCATGCTCTAGCCTCACACCAAGGACTTTCTTGGTAAGAGACGGACAGTTCGGTGAAGTGATTAAAAGCCTACAGGCTTAGATAATGGAAGAGAGAGCTCCGTCCTCACACTCCTTTCTGCTGAGCATGAAATGCCTGGTTACTCACCAGTTGTGAAGACTTCGTTTGTGAATGAGACGGTCAGTTCAGCGGTGGCTTCTGAGAATTCTAAGAAAGCAAAACAATGTTAGGTCTTCCCCGTGGTTCCCTATATCCTCTAGATATCTCCATTCCCCTTTTGAGATATCTAGGCTCCCTGAAACCCCTTTCTCTGACACACTGCACAGACACTGAAGACAGACAAATTCGAAAGGTGTAAGACTTATCTTCCATGACCGGCTTAGTAAGAAGCAGATCCGTTCAGCAATTGATAGACACTTGGTTTTTTTTCCACGTTTTGCTGTTATGAATATTGCTGCTGTGAACATTGACGTACAGGTTTTTGTGTGAACATAAGTTTTCTGTTCTCTTGGGTACACACCCAGGGGTGGTGGAATCACTGGGTCATACAGTAACTCTGTGTTTTACTTTTTGAAGAACTACCAGACTTCTTTCTTTTTTTTCTTTTTTTTTTTTTTTTGAGACAGAGTCTCATTCTGTTGCCCAGGCTGGAGTGCAGTGGCGCGATCTCAGCTCACTGCAACCTCCACCTCCTGGGTTCAAGCGATTCTCCTCCCTCAGCCTCCCGAGTAGCTGGGATTACAGGCACCTGCCATCACGCCTGGCCAACTTTTTTTTTTGTACTTTAGTAGAGGCGGGGTTTCACCATGTTGGCCAGGATGGTCTCGATCTCCTGACCTCGTGATCCACCCTCCTTGGCCTCTCAAAGTGCTGGGATTACAGGCTGCGCCTGGCCACAGACTGTTTTTCAAAGCAGCTGCACCATTTTATATTCCCACCAGCAATATAAGAAGGTTCTTCCAAATCCTCACCAATACTTCTTGTCCGTTTGTTTTGTTTTAAAAATCATAGTCATCCTAGTTGGCATGGTGAATTTTATGGTATGTGAATTATATCTCAGTTTGAATAATAAGATGTGGATCCATGTCTTCGTGAGCCTAGAGGAAGAATGAGCTCGTGTTAGCCTCAGAACACGGGATCTCCACCTTCCAACTTAGGCCATTTTCTTTTTTTCTTTTTTTTTTTTTTTTTGAGACAGAGTCTTACTCTGTCGTCCAGGCTGGAGTGCAGTGGTGCAATCTCGGCTCACTGCAAGCTCTGCCTCCCGGGTTCACACCATTATCCTGCCTCAGCCTCCCGAGTAGCTGGGACTACAGGCACCCGCCACCACGCCTGGCTAATTTTTTTGTATTTTCAGTAGAGATGGGGTTTCACCGTGTTAGCCAGGATGGTCTCGATCTCCTGACCTTGTGATCCACCCGCCTCAGCCTCCCAAAGTGCTGGGAATACAGGCGTGAGCCACCGCGCCCGGCCAGGCCATTTTCTTAACCAGGGGCCTCCTGAGGCCACCAAAATATTCCTGAACTGCCTCAGCTGATAAATACGAAGCTCTTGTTGCAGTGGGTACTATCCTGGGAGTCTTTTTATGGTGGAACCAGCTTGGAAAAAACTAGTTTATGCTCAGCTCTCGGTGGCATAATGAGAGTGTGGGTATTATTTGGTCTTTGTTATTTCTCTTCGTGTGAGATGCATTAATAAACCTTTTTTTTTTTTTTCAATTAAAATTTCAGTTCCAGAATCCATGTGCAGGACGTGCAGGTTTGTTACATAGGTAAACGTGTGCCATGGTGGTTTGCTGCACCCATCAACCCATCACCTAGGTATTAAGCCCCACACGCATCAGCTATTTATCCTGATCCTCTCCCTCCCCCAATTCCCCCTACAGGCCCCAGTGTGTGGTGTTCCCCTCCCTGTGTCCATGTGATCTCATTGTTCAGCTGCCACTTACAAGTGAGAACATGCAGTGTTTGGTTTTCAGTTCCTGTGTTAGTTTGCTGAGGATAATGTTTTCCAGCTCCATCCATGTCCCTGCAAAGGACATGATCTCATTCCTTTTTATGGCTGCATAGTATTCCATGGTGTATATGTACTGTATTTGCTTTATCCTTTCTATCATTGATGGGCATTTGGGTTGATTCCTTGTCTTTGCTATTGTGAATAGTGCTGCAATGAACATATGTGTGCATGTATCTTTATAATACAATGATTTATATTCCTTTGGGTATATAACCAGTAATGGGATTGCTGGGTCAAATGGTATTTCTGGCCAGGCGCAGTGGCTCACACATGTAATCCCAGCACTTTGGGAGGCCGAGGTGGGCAGATCACCTGAGGTCAGGAGCTCAAGACCACCCTGGCCAACATGGTGAAACTCCCGTCTCTAGCAAAAATCCAAAAATTAGCCAGGCGTTGTGGCATGCACCTGCAGTCCCAGCTACTCGGGAGGCTGAGGCAGGAGAATCACTTGAACCCTGGAGGCAGAGGCTGCAGTGAGCCGAGATCATGCCCCTGCAATCCAGCCTGGGTGACAGAGTGAGACTCTGTTTAAAAAAAAAAAAAAAAAAAAAAGGTGGCCCTGGTGCGGTGGCTCACGCCTGTAATCCCAGCACTTTGGGAGGCCGAGGCAGGTGGATCACCTGAGGTCAGAAGTTTGAGACCAGCATGACCAACAAGGTAAAACCCCATCTCTACTAAAAGAAAAAAAAAAAAAAAAGCCAGGCATGGTGGCAGGCGCCTGTAGTCCCAGTTACTTAGGAGGCTGAGACAGGATAATTGCTTGAACCTGGGAGGTGGAGGTTGCAGTGAGCCGAGATCGCACCACTGCACTCCAGCATGGGCTATTGAGCAATACTACATCTCAAAAAAAAAAAAAAGGAAAAAGGATTTCTGGTTCTGGGTCTTTGAGGAATCACCACACTGTCTTCCACAATGAACTAATTTACATTCCCAACAGTGTAAAAGCATTCCTATTTCTCCACAGCCTCGCCAGCACCTGTTGTTTCTTGACTTTTGTTGGTTTTTTTTTTTTTTTTTTGAGATGGAGTCTTGCTCTGTCGCCCAGGCTGGAGTGCAGTGGCACAATCTTGGCTCACTGCAACCTCCGCCTCCCGGGTTCACGCCATTCTCCTGCCTCAGCCTCCCGAATAGCTGGGACTACAGGCGCCCGCCACCACGCCCGGCTAATTTTTTGTATTTTTAATAGAGACGGGGTTTCACCGTGTTAGCCAGGATGGTCTCGATCTCCTGACCTTGTGATCTGCCTGCCTCGGCCTCCCAAAGTGCTGGGATTACCGGCGTGAGCCACCGTGCCCGGCGTTTCTTGACTTTTTAATAATCGCCATTTTGACTGGTGTGAGATGGTGTCTAAATGTGGTTTTGATTTGCATTTCTCTAATGATTGGTGATGTTGAGCTTTTTTTTGTATGTTTACTGGCTGCATAAACGTCTTCTTTTGAGAAGTGACTGTTCATGTCCTTTACCCACTTTTTAATGGTTTTTTTTTTCTTGTAAATTTGTTTAACTTCCTTGTAGATTCTGGATATTAGACTTTTGTGAATTGATAGATTGCAAACATTTTCTCCCATTCTGTAGGTTGTCTGTTCACTCTGATGATACTTTCTTTTGCTGAGCAGAAGCTCTTTAGTTTAGTTAGATCCCATTTGTCAGTTTTTGCTTTTGTTACAATTGCTTTTGACGTTTTTGTCATGAAATCTTTGCCCATGCCTGTGTCCTGAATGGTATTACCTAGATTTTCTTCTAGGGTTTTTATAGTTTTCGGGTTTTGCATCCAAGTCTTTCATCCATCTTGAGTTAATTTTTGTACAAGGTGTAAGGAACGGGTCCAGTTTCTATTTTCTGCATATGGCTAGCCAATTCTCCCAGCACCATTTATTAACCCACAGCCAATTTCATACTAAATGGGCATTTCCCTTGAAAACCAGCACAAGACAAGGATGCCCTCTTTCACCACTCCTATTCAACATAGTATTGGAAGTTCTGGCCAGGATAATCAGGCAAGAGAAAGAAATAAAGGATACTCAAATAGGAAGAGAGGAAATCAAACTATCTCTGTTTGCAGATGACATGATCCTATATCTAGAAAACCCCATCATCTCAGCCCAAAAGTTTCTTAAGCTGATAAGCAACTTCAGCAAAGTCTCAGGATACAAAATCAATGTGCAAAAATCACAAGCATTCCTATACACCAACAATAGACAGGCAGAGAGCCAAATCATGAAGGAACTCCCATTCACAATTGCTACAAAGAGAATAAAATACCTAGGAATACAGCTAACAAGGAAAGTGAAGGACATCTTCAAGGAGAACTACAATTCACTGCTCAAGAAAATCAGAGCGGACACAAACAAATGGAAAAACATTCCATGCTCATGGATAGGATGAATCAATATCGTGAAAATGGCCATACTGCCCAAAGTAATTTATAGATTCATTGCTATTCCCATTGAACTATCATTGACATTCCTCACACAATTAGAAAAAACTATAAAATTCATATGGAACCAAAAAAGGGCCCATATAGCCAAGACAATACTAAGCAAAAAGAACAAAGCTGGAGGCCTCAGGCTCAGACTTCAGACTATATTACAAGGTGATAGTAACCAAAACAGCATGGTACTGGTACAAAAACAGACACATAGACCAATGGAACAGAATAGAGATCTCAGAAATAAGACCACACATCTACAACCATCTGATCTTCAACAAACCTGACAAAAACAAGCAATGGGGAAAGGATTCCCTATTTAATACACCTTGTTTTGATTTTGATTTCAACACAGCGTGTGGTATTTGCATGCCATGTGATACAGTTTGAATATGTGTTCCCACCAAATCTCATACTGGATTATGATCCCCAATGTTGGAGGTGGGGGCCTGGTGGGAGGTGTTTGGATCATAGGGGTGGATCCCTCATTGCTTGGTGCTTTCCTTGCAATAGTAAGTGAATTCTCACAAGATCTGGCTATTGCAAAGTGTGGCATGTCCCCCAGTCCCAACTCTCTCTCTCTCTTGCTCCTGCTCCCACCACATGAGACAGCTACCCCCTCTTTGCCTTCTGCCATGACTGTAAGCTTCCTGAGGCCTCCCCAAAAGCAGAAGCCAGCCTTCTGCTTCCTATACGGCCTTCAGAACCATGAACCAATTAAACCTCTTTTCTTATCAATGATCCAGTCTCAGATATTTATAGCAGCACAAAATCGGCCTAATATAGCATGAAATATTGCTCAGCAATCAAAAGGAACACATCATTGATACATACAGCAGCTTGGATGGGCCTCAGGGGCATTGCACTGAGTGACAAAAGGATATCTCAAACGGTTGCATACTGGATGATCCCATTTACATCAGATTCTAGAAATGGAAGATTATAGAGATGGAGAACAAATTAATGGATACCAGGAGTTAGGGATGGCAAGGGAAGGAGAAGGGTGTAGGTGTGAATATAAAAGGGTAGCCCAAGGGAGGCCCTTGTGAGACGGAAGAGTTCTGTACAGTGACTGCGGTGATGGTGACGCGAATCTACAACTGTGACAAATTGGCATAGAACTAGACACCTACTTTATGCCAATGTCAAATTCCTGGTTTTTATGTTGTACTCTAATTACGTAAGATGTAACCATTAGAGGAAACTGGAAAAAGAGCACATGGGATTCTTCTGTTCTATCATTGTAGACTTCCTGTGACTCTAGAACCATTTCAAAAGAGAAAGTTCAAAAATTCAGTCAGAAGCACACGCACACATATGCACGCATGCACACACACACATATGCACGCATGCACACACATATGCACGCACACACACATATGCACGCACACACGCACATGCACGCACACACACATATGCACGCACACAGTATGTGACCATCTTCCATGTCCCTGCCCACTAGGCATAATAGCCCTCACTCTGCCCTCAACCCCGCAAATCTCATCCTTATCAACCTCGGCTCTTTCCAGCATGTTTCTCCTGCCTTGGTGCTTCACTCTGAGACACAGGGAATGTTAGACACGCCCAGCCTCCAGCCTAGCGTATGATATTCTTAAAGTGCAGGCCGTAGTCTGGTACACCGTATTCAGCTGAGATGTTTGTGAAAGTGGAGGGGATAACACGCCTCACACAAAACTTACCGCAGTGGTTCTCAAAGCAGCATTCTGGAGCCATAGCATCAGCATCACCTGGGAACTTACTAGGAATGAAAATGACTGGATTCACCCCAGACCTACTGAAGCAGAAGCCCTGGGGGCTCAGAAATCTATTCTTTAAGCCTCCAGGTGATTCTTATGCTCATGGAAGTTTGAGAACCGCTGATCAATGCATTCAGTGACTCAGAAACAGAGTCCCGGACTCTACAGGTTTGTTGGTTGGTTGGTTGGTTGGTTGGTTGGTTAGTTTGTTTGTTTTTGTCACCCATATTCAACCAGCTGGACTCCACAGTATAGCAAGCCACTCCGATTATTCTTCTGCATGTTATATGTGATAAACCATCCACCTAGAGTAGGATTGGGGGCAGCATCTTAACATCTAACTACTTAGGACACCCACCCTGTTTACAGGCAGAAATAAAGGATTTTTAAAACAAAGCAAATCTGTGAAAGAACCAACTGAATTAAATCGAGAAGTCTAGGCAGAGAGGAGAGAGAGAAGGGGTCCGTGTACCTCATACGCTGTGCACCAGAATGGACCCTGCAGAACCTACCTGCTACCGGGGAAGGTGGTTCTGTTGGTAACCGGCTGGGGGTCACAGAGGTTCCTGGGAAATCAGAAAATGAGATAAATCTGTGCTCTGTCGCTGTGGGTCCTGAACAAATAACGAAACATCTCCGTGACTGAGTTTCCTCACCGGAAAAATGAGCCTAAAGTAGCTTACATCACTGGACTGTTGTGGATGTTAATAAGCATTTGAGCTGGGTGCAGTGCCTCATGCCTGTAATCCCAGCACTTTGGGAGGCTGAGGAGGGCAGATCACTTGAGGTCAGGAGTTCAAGCCCAGCCTGGCCAGTATGGTGAAACCCCGTCTCCACTAAAAATACAAAAATTAGCCAGGCGTGGTGGTGTGCACCTGTAATCCCAGCTGCTCGGGAGGCTGAGGCAGGAGAATCACTTGAACCTAGGAGGCAGAGGTTGCAGTGATCTGAGATCGCACCACTGCACTCCAGCCTGGGTGACGCAGTAAGACTCCATCTGAAAAAAAAAGGCTTAGCCAGGCGTGGTGGCTCACACCTGTAATCCCAGCACTTTGAGAGGCCGAGGCAGGCAGATCACCTGAGGTCAAGAGTTCAAGACCAGCCTGGCCAACATGGTGAAACCCTGTCTCTACGAAAAATACAAAAATTAGCTGGGCATGATGGCAGGTGCCTGTAATCCCATCTACTCAGGAGGCTGAGGCAGGAGAATCGCTTAAACCCAGGAGGTGGAGGTTGCAGTGAACTGAGATCACTCCACTGCACTCCAGCCTGGGTGACAAAGTGAGACTCCCCCCAAAAAAAAAAAAAAAAAAAAAAGCAGCAGCATTTGTAAAGCACACCTGGCACATTCTGGGCTATTAACAAGGAAATGCATGCAGCTCCCGTCCACCTTTTTCAACCTCAGTTCTATTTCTTCTGGATTCCTGTGTCCTACCCCTCACTGTGACCCTGGGGGCAAAACAGATTTTTCTACCAAAAACTAAATGATGTATTTTGTTTGATTTAATATGACATTGTTAAATGTACTGATCAGTGGCGTTGGGTATGTTCACATTGTGGTACAATATGTTGACCTCTAGAACTTATTTTTCTTGCAAAACTGAAATTCTGTGCCCATTAAACACTAATTCCTTCTCTCTCCTCTTTCTGGCCCTTAACAACCACCATTGTACTTTGTGTTTCTACAGTGTTGACATTAGATACCTCCTTTGACTAGAATCATACAGTAGTTGTCCTTTTGTGACTGACTTAGCATAATGTCCTCAAGGTATATCCATGTTGTAGTATGTGTCAGAATTTCCTTCTTTTTTAAGGCTGCATAATATTCCATTGCATGTATATAACCACATTATGAGGTATGCTGCTCTTTTTTGAAAGAAACCCCCTTTAAGAATGGTAGTCAAGTCCGACGCGGTGGCTCACGCCTGTAATCCCAGCACTTTGGGAGGCCGAGGCGGGCAGATCATGAGGTCAGTTCAAGACCAGCCTGACCAACATAGTGAAACCCCGTCTCTACTAAAAATACAAAAATTGGCCGGGCATGGTGGCAGGCACCTGTAATTCCAGCTACTCGAGAGGCTGAGGCAGCAGAATCGCTTGAACCCGGAAGGCGGAGGTTGCAGTGAGCTGAGATCGCGCCACTGCACTCCAGCCTGGGTGACAGAGTGAGACTTCGTCAAAAAAAAAAAAAAGAAACCTCCATTCTCCCAGCTGCCTGTAGCCCAGGGCTTCCTGCCCTCCCACTTCCTTCCCACCTCTGGCCCCGCCCCTGCAGCCCAGGGCTTCCTGCCCTCCCACTTCCTTCCCACCTACGGCCCCGCCCCTGCAGCCCAGGGCTTCCTGCCCTCCCACTTCCTTCCCACCTACGGCCCCGCCCCTGCAGCCCAGGGCTTCCTGCCCTCCCACTTCCTTCCCACCTACGGCCCCGCCCCTGCAGCCCAGGGCTTCCTGCCCTCCCACTTCCTTCCCACCTACGGCCCCGCCCCTGCAGCCCAGGGCTTCCTGCCCTCCCACTTCCTTCCCACCTACGGCCCCGCCCCTGCAGCCCAGGGCTTCCTGCCCTCCCACTTCCTTCCCACCTCTGGCGCCGCCCCTGCAGCCCAGGGCTTCCTGCCCTCCCACTTCTTTCCCACCTATGGCCGCGCCCCTACAGCCCAGGGCTTCCTGCCCTCCCACTTCCTTCCCACCTACGGCCCCGCCCCTGCAGCCCAGGGCTTCCTGCCCTCCCACTTCCTTCCCACCTACGGCCCCGCCCCTGCAGCCCAGGGCTTCCTGCCCTCCCACTTCCTTCCCACTTATGGCCCCTCCCTTGGAATGGCCATCAGGACCTATAAAGGCTGAGGAAGAAAGGTTTGGTCTGCACTACCCCTACCTGTGACCACAAGCTCCAGGGGGTCGCTGGGGGCTGACCACAGGTATGGGTCCCTGCTGGAGAAGCTGTAGCATCGGTAGGTTCCGCTGTGGGCGGCGGTCACCGTGATGATGGGAAAACTAGCCCTGTACCATCTCTCGGGATTCTTGTAGGGCGCAGGGTCCCCTTCCTTGTACAGAGCAAATTGGTCAAAGCCATACCGAGTCTGACACTGTAGGGTTACGTCCCCTCCTGACGACACCGCCGGGCCGGGCTGGGCTGAGAGCGAGGGTTTGGCAAAAACTCCTGGGAGAAAAAGAAAGTCTGATGTTGAAGGCAGGAGCCAGCATCTCAGCTGAGACTGGGGAGGTCCCCACACCTGCCTAAGAGCTGGGGAGCTTTTTGGCTGTATCCCTCCCAGAGAGCGCACTCCCCCACCCAAGCTCACAGAGAGGTCGAGTCACCCAGTGGTTGAGGAAGGAGGCTGTGCTCACGTCCTAGTGCTTGGGTGCAAATCCTAGTTCTGCCTTCAGGGGCCTGGTGGCCCTGGAGACAAATCTCCCTCTGTATCTGAGCCTCACTGCCTTGTTCTGTTAAAATGGGGATGACTGAATGAGACAGTACACAGTAATTTGCAGAGTGCCTGTTGCCTAGCAAGCGCTGGAGTAAGTAAATAGCTTAAGCTTATACTGTGCTGTAAGCTTGTATTGCCACATACAATTGTTACGTTGTAAATGTGGCTGACAGTGCTAGCTTCCGGGTGCCTTCCAAACTTATGATGTATATCAGTTCAGTGAATCCTCAGAGACCTATGGAGTCCTCACTCTTAATGTCCCTATTTTATAAATGAAACTAAGGCACATGGCATTAAATAATTTGTCCAACTCTAGGTAACAATACTGCAGTGTACAGCTGAAATTTGCTAAGAGGGTAGATTATAAGTATTCTCACACACAAAAAAGTTAACTGTGTCAGGTGATGTATGTTAATTAGCTTGCTAGTAGTAACTGTCTCACAGTGGATTCGTATATCAAAACATCAACTTGTACACCTTGGATATATTCCATTTTTGTTTTTCAATTATACCTCAACAAAGCTGGACATATTTTAATTTAAAAATAAATAAAAAACTTGTCCAAGATCATAAGTGGCAGAGTTGAAATCTGCACTCACAGAGTTTGATTCCAGGGTCTCCGCTCCTAAACACGAACCTACACTACTCTGATGTGAGGTTGTTGTCATAGACCGGTGTGGTGATGCATGCCTGCACACAGGAGTCAGAAAAACAAAGGTTGAGGCTGGGTGCGGCGGCTCACACCGGTCATCCCAGCACTTTGGGAGGCCAAGGTGGGAGGATCGCTTGAGCCCAGGAAGGCGAGGCTGCAGTGAGCTATGATCACTGTACACTAGCCTGGGTGACAGAGTGAGACCTTGTCTCAAAAAAAGACAGAGAGAGAAAGCAAAAGAAAGGAAGTAAGGAAGATAAAAATATAAGCTGCCTAATAATTATGGCATTCACTCAACAAGAAGAAAAAGAAAGAAAGAGGAAGGAAGGGAGGGAGGGAGGAAGGAAGGAAGGAAATATATAAGCTGCCTGATAACTGTAACATTCACTCAGCAATATTTTCTCTTAATTTTCACTTAAGCAACTATTATGTGTCTGTCTGTATTCTTTTTTTGTTGTTTCATTTGTTTTGTTTTGTTTTGTTTTGTTTTGAGACGGAGTCTCGCTCTGTCACCCAGGCTGGAGTGCAATGGCATATATATATATATATATATATATATATATATATATATATATATATATATATATATATATTTTTTTTTTTTTTTTTTTTTTTTTTTTTTTTGGGAAACAGAATCTCACTCTGTTGCCCAGGCTGGAGTGCAGTGGCATGATCCCAGCTCACTGCAACCTCCACCTCCTGGGTTCAAGCGATTCTCCTGCCTCAGCCTCCCGAGTAGCTGGGACTACAGGCATGCACCACCATGCCCAGTTAATTTTGTATGTTTAGTAGAGACAGGGTTTCACCATGTTAGCCAGGCTGATCTCGAACTCCTGACCTCAGGTGATCCGTCCACCTCGGCCTCCCAAAGTGCTGGCATTACAGGCGTGAGCCACCGTGCCCGACCAGGAATTAAAAATAGACAACCACCACCAAGATAAAAAAAGGTATACTTCACATACCAGATAGTGAGGAGGGCCACTTTGACTAGGGTGGTGGGGGATATACTTAGCGAGAAGAGAGTATTTGAGTCTGACCCTGAAAGAAGTAATGAGGCAGCCAGGCTGGTCCATTCTAGTAGCAGAGAGGAGGCCAGTGATGCTGTGGAGGGGAGTGAGGCAGGGAAGAGGGGAGGGAGGCAGGATTTATAACGCGGAATAGACCACAGTGCAGCTGGCCAGGAATTAGGGTGGCGTGAGTGAGGCACTCTCCTGGGATGTAAAATTTAATTATTCCCAAACAATTAACATATTTGAAAAAATTATTGAAAATTTGAAGAGTAGGTCGTTAAAACTCACATTATTCTGTTTGAATACTTTATTCCCCTGAAAGATTTATTAGAATTTTACATTCTAGGCTTTTGTGGATGCAAGCGCATCAGTGCTATTTCCAAAACCTACTTCTAGAAAATAACCATTTAAAAGTGCACTAACTGGGTGCACCTATAGTCCCAGCTACTAGGGAGGACCACTTGAGCCCAGGGATTTGAGGCTAAAGTGAGCTATGATCATGCCTGTGAATACAGCGAGTGTACTAAAGCCTGGGCAACATAGTAAGACCTCTTCTCTTTTTTTTTTTTTCCCAAGACGGAGTCTTGCTCTGTCGCCCAGGCTGGACTGCAGTGGTGCAATCTCGGCTCACCGCCTCCCAGGTTTAAGCGATTCTCCTGCCTCAGCCTCCGGAGTAGCTGGGATTACAGGAGTGCGCCACCGCGCCCAGCTAATTATTATTATTTTTTTTAGTAGAGACGGGGTTTCACCATGTTGGCCAGGCTGGTCTCAAACTCCTGACCTTAAGTGATCCACCCACCTCAGCCTCCCAAAGTACTGGGATTACAGGCGTGAGCCGCCGCGCCCGGCCCAACCTCTTCTCTTAAAAAAAATAAATAAATAAGAAAAGAAATTAGAATATTTGCACCAATCAAGAGTCTAAGGAGACATAAATACTAAATGCACTGTGGGGCCCTGGACGGGGTCTGGGAACAGAAATAGGATATTAGTGGAAAGACTGGTGAAATTCAAATAGCCTGGAGTTTACTTGATATAATATAGTTGTGTCTATGGTTAGTTTTTTGTTTGTTTTTTGATACAGGGTCTCACTCTGTCACCCAGGCTGGAGTGCAGTGGCGTGATCACAGCTCCCTGCAGCCTCGGCCTCCCTGGCTCAAGCGATCCTCCTGCCTCAGCCTCCTGAGTAGCTGGGACTATAGGTGTATGCCACCATGCCCCACTAATTTTTAATTTTGTTTAAAGATGAGGTCTCACTATGTTGCCCAGGCTGGTCTTGAACTCCTGAGCTCAAGCAATCCTCCCGCCTCAGCCTCCCAAAGTGCTGGGATTACAGGTGTAAACCACTGGGACCAGTGCTACGTTTATTTTTTGGTTGTAACAAATGTAAGATGTTAACATGAGGGGATCCTGGGTGAAATATTTCCATTAATATTATCTTTGGAACTTTTCTGTCAGTCTAAAAATTACTCCAAAACAAAGTTTTAAAAAGAATCCCGAGCCAAGCACGGTGGCCCGTGACCGTAGTCCCTGCTACTCATGAGGCTGAGGCAGGAGGATTGCTCAAGGCAAGGAGCTCCAGGCTGCAGTGAGCTATGACTGCTCCTATGAACAGCCACTGCACTCCGGCCTGGGCAGTGTAGCAAGACCCCATCGCTAATTTTTTTAAGTGCATTAAAACACAGATAAAGGGTTGCCTGTTTTTCGTTTTGGCACAGACTCTGGTATGACTTGACACAGGCACTGGCTGATTCTGCCTTTATTTGAAATTCTGGTTTTTTTCATTGTGGATGTTTTTGCAATTTATTTTGATTTTTTTAAAAATTGCATGAAAATGTTATTCACAGCCAGATGCAGTGGCTCACGCCTGAAATCCCAACACTTTGGGAAGCCAAGGTGGAAGGATAGCTTGAGCCCACAGGAGTTCGAGACCAGCCTGAGCAACATAGCGAGACCCTATCTCTCTCTCTTTTGTATTTTAATGCCTTTTGTGAAAACTGTCAAGAGACCCCATCTCTATAAAAACATAAAAAATGAGCTGGGCGTGGTGGTGCACACCTGTAATCCTAGCTACTTGGAGGGCTGAGGCGGGAGAATCGCTTGAGCCCTGGAGGTGGAGGCTGCAGTGAGCCAAGATCGCGCCACTGCTCTCCACCCTGGGTGACGCAGCAAGACCCTGTGTCCAAAAAACAAAATATTATTCACATTGATCCATAAATGTCGTGGCACCACCACCCGCTAGGCCAGTGCCTCGTTTGCCTCACCCTAATCCCTGCCCTCAATGTCCCCCGTATTTGTGTCCTGAACGGAGGACCACGCAGTCCCAGGCTCCGATCCCCCTTCCTTTACCCGTGGCAACGAGCTCCAGCTGGTCGCTGGGCAGGGACCAGAGGCTTCCGTTCTGGTAGGAGCAGCGGTAGCGTCCAGCCAGACTTCTCTTCATGGCCGGGATGAAGAGGACTGCCTGATCCTGGTACCTGCTGGAACTCAGCTTCTCCAGGCGGTACAGGTCCACGCCCGGAGGTCCCTGGCACCGGAGGGTCACTGGCTTCTCCAGGGGCACCAGGGAGCTGGGCAGAGCCTGGAGGGAGGGCTTGGGGAGCGGTCCTGGAAGAGGAGCAGGGCTGGGTCAGCCTCCCCGCAGACCCCGCCTGGACCCCGCTGCTCCCGCGCTGGCGGATCCCGCAGGAGGGAAGGGGTCTGGGGAAGGACTCACCACTCTGCGCTGGCACACGCCCCAGACACAGCCCTGAGGAAAGAAGAAAGGGACCAGATGCCAGGACTCGCTTTTATGGACATTCCTGCCTGCTGGGCGCGGTGATAAGACATTTGCATGCATATGCTTTACTCTGTCCTAATAATTTCTTCAAAAGACACACAGGAATGTAATTTAAGTGAGAGAAACCGGTCAGAAAAAGCCACATAGTTTATGAGGTCATTTACATGAAATATCCAGAATAGGTAAATCTATAGGAGATGGAGAAGAAAGCAGATCCATGGCTGGGGGTGGTGGGAGAGGAGGGCAAGGCATGGTGGCGTACTGCTCTCTGTGGACTTGTTCGTGTTAGACACGGTGGGCTCGTTCGTGTTAGACACGGTGGACTCGTTCGTGTTAGACACGGTGGGCTCGTTCGTGTTAGACACGGTGGGCTCGTTCGTGTTAGACACGGTGGACTCGTTCGTGTTGTGTTAGACACGGTGGACTCGTTCGTGTTAGACGCGGTGGACTCGTTCGTGTTAGACACGGTGGACTCGTTCGTGTTGTGTTAGACACGGTGGACTCGTTCGTGTTGTGTTAGACACGGTGGACTCGTTCGTGTTAGACACGGTGGGTTCGTTCGTGTTAGACACGGTGGGTTCGTTCGTGTTAGACGCGGTGGGTTCGTTCGTGTTAGACGCGGTGGACTCCTTCGTGTTGTGTTAGACACGGTGGACTCGTTCGTGTTAGACACGGTGGACTCGTTCGTGTTAGACACGGTGGACTCGTTCGTGTTAGACACGGTGGACTCGTTCGTGTTGTGTTAGACACGGTGGACTCGTTCGTGTTGTGTTAGACACGGTGGGCTCGTTCGTGTTGTGTTAGACACGGTGGACTCGTTCGTGTTGTGTTAGACACGGTGGGCTCGTTCGTGTTAGACGCGGTGGGCTCGTTCGTGTTAGACGCGGTGGGCTCGTTCGTGTTGTGTTAGACACGGTGGGCTCGTTCGTGTTGTGTTAGACACGGTGGGCTCGTTTGTGTTGTGTTAGACACGGTGGGCTCGTTCGTGTTAGACATTGCCCATTGACTTCCTCAGTGGATGTGAGGAATGGGACCTGAGACATTGCTGTCCCTTCGTTTCCTCCCTTCAGTCTCCCAATATTAAATAATATCCAAGTACATTACAATAGTATGCAATTGTATAGACAAGTATTGTAAATACTATTGCATATTGTATATTATTGTATTTTATTGTCTATGTAATATATGCGATAAAACCCCACACTAATGGGATGCATTGGGCTCCAAGGATGGAGCAGGATGGAGCCTCAGCGTGTAAGTCAGGACGTCTCAGCATGTGCTGGCCATGGGTTTCCCGGTATTTACAACATTTGCTTGAATCAGTATTCCATGATTACATGATAGGATATAATATATATAATAATCGTTTCAAATAGCCTGAAGGAGGATGGGGAAAGTTCCCAACACAGAAAGGATGCATGTTTGAGAAGATGGGTGTGCTACTTACCCTGATCTGATTACTATATGTATATACACATATAGTGCATATATGTAAACCTACATCTATACATACATGTGTATGTACATATACACGTGTGTACATACACACGTGTATATGTATGTATATGTATATATGTATGCATGTGTGTGTGTGTGTGTGTGTGTGTGTATACATATGTATACAAATACATGTACATAAGCGATCCCCTCCTGGAATTGCTTGAGCCCAGGAGGTCAAGTCTGCTGTGAGGTAAGATTGCACCACTGGCCGGGCACGGTGGCTCATGCCTATAATCCCAGCACTTTGGGAGGCCAGGGTGGGCGGATCACAAGGTCAGGAGTTCAAGACCAGCCTGGTCAACATGGTGAAACACCATCTCTACTAAAAATACCAGAAATTAGCTGGGCATGGTGGCACGTGCCTGTAATCCTAGCTACTGGGGAGGCTGAGTCAGGAGAATCACTTGAACCCGGGAGGCGGAGGTTGCAGTGAGCCAAGATCACGCCACTACACTCCAGCCTGGGCAACAGAGCAAGACTCCATCTCGAGGAAAAAAAAAAATGATATTGCCCCATTGCACTCCAGACTGACAACAGAGCAAGACCCTGTCTCAGAAAACGAAGAGGAGGAGGAAAAAAAAAGTACTAATTATCTGAAATTCCAATTTAACCAGGCATCCAGTGTTTTATCTGGTAACCCTCATTCTTACACACACACACACACACACACACACACAAAGGCGGGATAGTTGTCATTCCCACTGTAAACATAAGGAAACTGGGCAGAGGCCAAGCAACCTTGTGTAGCTCACATAGCAAGAAGTGGGTGAACCCAGCTCATGTCTTGACTCTGAGCTCAGAGAGTGACAACTTGTCACCAGCGCCCCCATAGCCACCACCCTTTGTCCACCCCAGGCTCCCTCTGCACCCCAACGCAAGCTCCGGCCGCTTCTCTGTCCCCCTCCTCCTGCCGCATCACAGCCCACCTCAGCCTCTTTGTAGGTTTCCATGCGACGCTGTACCATGGCTGGGAGTCTTCCAGGCGCCGTGCTGAGCGCCTTCTGTGCATGGACTCCAAGTCGCCATAATCGTACGGGTTACCCACCATTATCAGTCCCCTCTTATACATCAGGCTAGTGAGACAGTATCTTATCCACAGTCCTACAGCTGGCAGGAGTAGATTCAAACCCTAGCAGCACCAATTAGTGGTAAAGAGTGTGGACTTGGGAACTTACAGGAGTAGAGAGCACAGTGGTGGTTACCGGGGCGGTGGGGTAAGGTTTGGGGAGATGTTGGTCAGAGGAGGACAGTTTCAGTTGGACAAGAGGAGTATGTCTTGGAGATCTACTGCACATCATGGTGACTGTAGTTAATAACAACATATTGTACACTTGCATATCACCGATAGTAGATTTTAAATGTTCTCACCGGCCGGGCGCGCTGGCTCACACCTGTAATCCCATTTTGGGAGGCCAAGGTGGGCGGATCACCTGAAGTCAGGAGTTCGAGAGCAGCCTGACCAACATGGTGAAACCCTGTCTCTACTAAAAATACAAAAATTAGCGGGGCGTAGTGGCAGGAGCCTGTAATCCCAGCTACTTGGGAGGCTGAGGCAGGAGAATCGCTTGAACCTGGGAGGTGGAGGTTGCAGTGAGCCAACGTCATGCCACTGCGCTCCAGTCTGGGCAACAGAGTGAGACTCCATGTCAAAAAATAAAAATAAATAAAAATAAATGAGCGTGGAATACTACTCAGCCATTAAAAGGAGTGAAATAATGTCTTTTGGCCAGGCACAGTGGCTCACATCTGTAATGCCAGCACTCTGGGAGGCCGAGGTGGGTGGATCACGAGGTCAAGAGATCAAGACCATCCTGCCCAACATGGTGAAACCCCATCTCTACTAAAAATACAAAAATTAGCCGGGCATGGTGGCGGGTGCCTGTAGTCCCAGCTACTCGGGAGGCTGAGGCAGGAGAATCACTTAAACCCGGGAGGTGGAGTTTGCAGTAAGCCGAGATCACACCACTGCACTCCAGCCTTGGTGAGAGAGCGAGATTCCGTCTTTAAAAAAAAAAAAAAAAAGTCTTTTGCAGCAACTTGGATGGAGCTGGAAGGCATTATTCTAAGTAAAGTAATACAGGAGTGGAAAACAAAAATCTGTATATTCTCACTTATAAGTGAGAGCTAAGCTGTGGGTATGCAAAGGCATGCAGAGTGATGTAATGGACTTCAGAGACTCAGAAGGGAAGGGCAGAAGTGGGGCAGGGATGAAAAACTACACATTAGGTACAAGGTACACTAGTCAGGTGACAGGTGCACTAAAATCTCAGAATTCACCAGAATATAATTCATCCATGTAACCAAGAACCACTTGTATCCCAAAAGCTACTGAAGCAACAAGCCAGATGCAGTAACCTGTACAGGCCACACCTGTAACCCCAACACTTTGGGAGGCCGAGGTGGGTGGATCGCTTGAGCCCAGGAGTTCAAGACCAGCCTGGGCAACATAGCGGACCCCCGTAACTAAAAAAATTACAAAAACAAGCCAGGCATGATGGTGTACAACTGTAGTTCCAGATACTCAGGAGGCTGATGGGGAGGCACTGGTTGAGCCTGGGAGGTTGAGGCTGCAGTGAGCCATGATCATGCCACTGCCCTCCTGCCTGGGTGACAGAAGTGAGGCCCTATCTCAAATAAAATTAAATAAATAAAAGTTAAAACAGGCTGGGTGCGGTGGCTCACGCCTGTAATCCCAGCACTTTGGGAGGCCGAGGCGGGTGGAACCTGAAGTAAGGAGCTTGAGACCAGCCTGGCCAACATGGTGAAACCCCGCCCCTACTAAAAATACAATAATTAGCCAGACCTGGTGGCAGATGCCTGTAATCCCAACTATTCGGGAGGCTGAGGCAGGAGAATCACTTGGACCCGGGAGGCAGAGTTTGCAGTGAGCTGAGATCATGCCATTGCATTCCAGCCTGAGCGACCGACTGAGCGAGACTCCATCTCAAAAAACAAACAAAAAGAAAAAAAGAATACATCCATGGATGGATAATGAATGAGAGGTTGTTTATATTCACAGTTAACCCTCTCATCTCCAGTAATGCAACCATCTTCTTCCTGCTTAGCCTTTTGGAGATGCTGTCCCTTTAGTGGTCAAATTCTGAAGAAATCAGGAAATAATGCATTCGACATGCCCAGCACAAGTGAAGATCAGGCAGCAGAAATGCATTCGACCTGCCACCCATCCATCAGGAGACTATTTACTCCACTACTGTAGGGGATACTGACAAATTAAATCCATACCTAGTCCAGATATCAATTCCACAATTTTTTTTTTTTTTTTTTTGAGACGGAGTTTCGCTCTTGTTGCCCAGGCCAGAGTGCAATGGTGTGATCTTGGCTCACCGCAACCTCCACCTCCCAGGTTCAAGCGATTCTCCTGCCTTAGCCTCCAGAGTAGCTGGGATTACAGGCATGTGCCACCACACCCGGCTAATTTTGTATTTTTAGTAGAGATGGGGTTTCTCCATGTTGGTCAGGCTGGTCTCAAACTCCCGACCTCAGATGGCCCACCCGCCTCGGCCTCCCAAAGTGTGTAAGCCATGGCACTCAGCCTTTTTTTTTTTTTTTTTTTTTTTTTTTGAGATGGAGGCTCTCTCTGTTGCCCAGGCTGGAGTGCAATGCCTGACCTCAGCTCACTGCAACTTCTGCCTCCCAGTTTCAAGCAATTCTCCCACCTCAGCCTCCCACGTAGCTGGGATTACAAGCACCCGCCATCACGCCCGGCTAATTTTTGTAGAGATGGGGTTTCACCATGTTGACCAGGCTGGTCTTGAACTCCTGACCTCAGGTGATCCACCCACCTCGGCCTCCCAAGGTTGAGATTACAGGCGTGAGCCACTGTGCCTGGCCCACATTTTTTAAAAAAGGGGCAACTGCAGTGTAGTAGAACAAAGTTGTGACCAATGCTAGGATACTCTGTTCATTTCCTGACCCAGCCATGAATACACTGGAATAACTCATGCAAAATGCCAGCTCGCTGGCCCCCCGTTTCCCCACCCAACAAATGAAGGGGCTCTTACAGGTTCCTTTTTGTCCTGAAATTCATCACCAATGCAAATTTCTTAAAAATCCTTTGTCTGGCAGTCCATGCCTGTCCTTCAGCATTTCCCAGATCTGACCCTCAGGACTCACCAAGACAGAAGAGGGCGGTCGGGGATGGAGACATGGTTCCTCAGCCCTGTCCTGAGCTCTGTGGCCAGGGAGGGAAGTGGTGGGAGCCTGGGGCACAGGCTCAGGATGTGATGAGGATGAAGAATGCTCTCCTCCCTTCCTCCACCAGCCCCGGCCTTTCCTAATTGAGACTCATCGAGCCGTAGCCGGCTCCTCAGTACAGTGACTTGCACACAAGCTCCAAGGAGCCGCGCTTATCTCCTCTGGCCAGCCTGGCGTTGCACCGTTTGTCCGCCTGCTGGGGCCTGGTCTGTGTTCCCGTGCTCCCATAAACTCCCTGATGTCACTAGGAAAATACGCATCAAAACCACAGTGAGATATGACTTCACACCTTCTGGAATGGCTGTATTTTTTTTTTTTCTTTTGAGACAAAGTCTCGTTCTTTTTGCCCAGGTTGGAGTGCAGTGGCGCCATCTCGGCCCACTACAACCTCCACCTCCCAGGTTCAAGCGATTCTCCTGCCTCAGCCTCCCAAGTGGCTGGGATTATAGGTATGTACCACACCAGGCTAATTTTTGTATTTTTAGTAGAGATGGGGTTTCACTGTGTTGGCCAGGCTGGTCTTGAACTCCTGACCTCAGTTGATCCACCTGCCTCGGTCTCCCAAAGTGCTGGGATTACAGGCATGAGCCACTGCACCCGACCGGCTATAATTTTTTTTAATGGAAAACAGCAGATATTGGTGAGTATGCAGAGAAATTGAACTGCGCGTGCATTGCTGGCAGGGACGTAACATGGCGCCCCTGCTGTGGAAAACAGTTCCAGCAGCTCCTCCAGAAGTTAAACGTGGGATTGCCATAAAATCCAGCAATTCCACTTCGGGGTACACACCTAAAAGAACTGAAAACAGGGTCTCTAACATATTTGTACACAGTGTTCATAGCAGCTTTATTCACAATAGCCAAAAGGTGAAACCACCCACATGTCCATCAACAACAATGGATAAACAACATGTGGTATATACACACAAGGTAATATCAACCAGCCTTAACTAAAAGAATAAAAATCAGCCAGGCACAGTGGCTCACGCCTGTAATCCCAGCACTTTGGGAGGCCGAGGCGGGCGGATCACCTGAGGTCAGGAGTCCGAGACCAGCCTGGTTAACATGGTGAAACCCCATCTCTACTAAAAATACAAAAATTAGCTGGGCGTTAAATTAGCCGGGCATGGTGGCAGGTGCCTGTAATCCCAGCTACTTGGGAGACGGAGGCATGAGAATCGCTTGAACCTGGGAGGCAGAGATTGCGGTAAGCCGAGATCGCACCACTGCACTCCAGCCTGGGCGGCAGAGTGAGACTGTCTCAAAAATAAAAATAAGGCCGGGCGTGGTGGCCCATGCCTGTAATCCTAGTACTTTAGGAGGCTGAGGCAGGCAGATTGCCTGAGCTCAGCAGTTCAAGACCAGCCTGGGCAACACAGTAAAACCCCCAAAAAATACAAAAAAAAAATAGCCGGGCATGGCGGCAGGCACCTGTAGTCCCAGCTACTCCGGAGGCTGAGACAGGAGAATGGCTTGAACCCGGGACGCGGAAGTTGCGGTGAGCCGAGATCGCGCCATTGCACTCCAGCCTGGGTGACAGAGCGAGATTCTGTCTCCAAAAAATAAAAAATATTATAAAAGAATAAATTCAGATACATGCTACAACGTGATGGACCTTGAAGACATTATGCTAAAGGAAATATTCCGGACTTGACAGATAAATACTGCATTGTGCCGCTTATCTGAGGTATCGAGAGGAGTCAAATTCATAGAGACAGGGATTAGAATGGTGGTTGCCAAGGCCTGGGAAAAGTGGGGAGTTACTATTTAATAGGGAGCGCTTAGGTTGAAGATGATGACAAAGTCTGGGGGATCCATAGTGGTGATGGTTACACAACACTGTAAATGTATTTATATTTAATGCCATTGACTGTTTTTTGTTTTTTGGTTTTTTGAGACGGAGTCTCACTCTGTCGCCGAGGCTGGAGTGCAGTGGCGCGATCTTGGCTCACCGCAACCTCCGCCTCCCAGGTTCAAGCGATTCTCCTGCCTCAGCCTCCTGAGTAGCTGGGACTACAGGTGCGTGCCACCATGCCTAGTTGATTTTTTGTATTTTTAGTAGAGACGGGGTTTCACCGTGTTAGCCAGGATGGTCTCGATCTCCTGACCTTGTGATTTGGCCTCCCAAAGTGCTGGGAATACAGGCATGAGCCACCGCGCCCGGCCAGTGCCGTTGACTTGTATGTGCACTTACAGGTGGTTAAAATGAGAACTATCAGGGTGTTGATATCTAAAAACCTCCCTGCCATCATCTTCCCTACATCTCTCATTCAGTGACCATGGTTGAATGCCTGCCACCTTTCAAATATTATGTCAGGCACTCAGTATTGGCAGTTTTATCCATTATAAATGCTTTAAGCTGCATAGAATTTTAAACGTGTTAATAAAAGTAGTTATAAATCTTTAATACATAAGCTGGCTTTAAAATTATTGGTAAAATAAGATTAGAAATGTCTTAAGAATTGTTGGCGTTTTTGTTTGCACTTATTGAACGAGTGGTTTCATGCTTATCCCTGCAGAATACTATGAGATTTGTCATAAGGGTTATAAAACTATAAACCCGGCTGGGCGTGGTGGCTCACGCCTGTAATC
The DNA here is from genome assembly GCF_000001405.40 of Homo sapiens. Classification (NCBI taxonomy): domain Eukaryota; kingdom Metazoa; phylum Chordata; class Mammalia; order Primates; family Hominidae; genus Homo; species Homo sapiens. The sequence goes on from NW_003571061.2 coordinate 753,036, forward strand.
CCAACACTCTGGGAGGCCGAGGCAGGCAGATCACCTGAGGTCGGGAGTTTGAGACCAGCCTGACCAACATGGAGAAACGCCATCTCTACTAAAAATACAAAATTAGCTGGGTGTGGTGGCGCATGCCTGTAATCCCAGATACTCAGGAGGCTGAGGCAGGAGAATCGCTTGAACCCGGGAGGCAGAAGTTGCAGTGAGCCGAGATTGCGCCACTGCACTCCAGCCTGGGCAACAAGAGTGAAACTCCATCTAAAATAAATAAAAATAAAACATTTGTTTTTTGTAGAGTTGGGGTTTCACTATGTTGCCCAGGCTGGTCTTGAACTCCTCCTGGGCTCAAGCAATCCACCGACCTCAGCCTCCCAAAGTGCTGGGATTACAAGTGTGAGCCACTGTGCCTGGCCCTATTGGGTCCTTTTAAAAGATACATAAAAAATCAAATGCAACAGTGAAGTCAATCACCCGATGGCAGAAATTGGGGTGCTCCTGGCATGTGGTCGGTCGAAGCCAAGGACACTGCTCAGCATTCTGCAGTGCACAGGACGGCCCCGCCCAGGCGGAGAATGATCCGGTGACACATATAGGTGGGAAGGATGCACGAATGATGGCGTTTAGGAAGAATATTATCACTTCTTTCCCGTAAGAGCAACTTAGAGCAAGAAAATGGTATTATTCTTAGGGCCTTCTCTCTTATGGAGGCTCCAAGCCAGGGTTGCCATGGCAGAAGATGCTGGGCTTGCTTTTTCCTTGAGAGAACTGTACTCAAGATGATGTAACTGTCACCCCGGGTGCCACTTGGGTGCTTTGGAGAAGCGCTCAGACGCGACACGCCGTGACGACTCCGCGGCAGGCAGCCGGACCTGTCCTCTGGCGTGCGGTTCACGGGCTGTGTTTATCCCCCTGGTTCCTTCACAGCCACCTTGGGAAATACGTTGCCTCTGAATCACGCCAGGCAGGCTCTCACTGTGTGTGCTGCGGGGCTGGAAATCAGGGTGACACTCCGCTACCGAACAGCCTGACTAGGAAGCCAGAAAGACGCTGCCGGCTTTAGTTTGTCCTTTGACTTTCCTTGATATGAATGAAGATAGAGCACTTCCACACTGCACAACAGGAAAAGCCCAGAACGCTTCCTGGAGATAGCGAGGGGGTGATGCAGCGGACAGCTATGGCTGATGACCCCCTCACCTCTGACTCCCCCTCCCTCCCTGCTTTCTGAACGCACATCCATCACCAACCATAGGTTCCTGTTTGGGGTTTGCTGGCTGGAAAAAAAAAAAAAAAAAAAAGGAAAGCTGGCTTTCTAGTAAAAACCACTTCCTTTGCTCATTTATCAAACTCAAACGCTAGGAGGGCCACCTAACATCCTCCGTCCCACGCAATGGGGTGTTTCTGGAGCACTCCGGTTTATCAGGGACCCTGTCAGTTGCCATCGCACATGTATATGGGGCCAGCCCCTGTGCCACCGAAGAGGGGGGATATTGAAAACATGTTACAGCCAGGAGCGGTGCCCCCTTGGTTCAAGCAGTTCTTCTGCCTCAGCCTCCCTAATAGCTGGGATTACAGGCGTGCACCATCACGCCTGGCCACTGTTATGTAGTTTTTACCACAATTTAAAAAAGGAAAGAGTGCCTGGGTGAGTCCTACGCACCTATTCGGAGAACCAAAGGCTTTGAGGTTATCCTCGGCCCACCCATCTGATGGGAGTGTTTCTCAAACTTGCTTTTCCGTGATCTCCCAGTAAGAAATACCTACTACACACACACAGTCTCCGGTCGGCATGCTTAGGGTAGTCTTCCAATTCCCCCTCCTGGTATTTACACCCTGGAGTGGTCCGCTCCTCTTGGGCTGAACCTGTAACTTGCTCCCAAGCAAGAGCACACAGCAAGCTCACGCACGTGGTTGTTGGTGTGATTCTGTTTCTCCAGATTGTCTCCATTCCTCCCTGGCTTCTCCACAGGGCCGCTCACCATGGCAGCCGGCTCCATCACCACCAGCCAGCGAGAGGGCAAGACAAGAGGGCTGACGAGGGACGCTACCATCACAGAGGTCAGTTTTGTAACCTAACCACAAGACTAACCTACTGTCACTTCTGCCCTATCCTACTGCTAGAAGCCAGTCGCTACATCTCCCCCACACTCAAAGGGAGGTGGTCGCACCGTGGGGTCCACTGGAAGTTGCCTACCAGACTCAGGTCATCCCAAACACACCCTCTAGCCATTTGGTGTGGCATCGGAAAGAAAACTAAGGCCAGGTACGGTGGCTCATGCCTGTAATCCCAACAATTTGGGAGGCCATGGCGGAAGGGTCACTTGAGCCCAGGAGTTTGAGACCAGCCTGGGCAACATAGCAAATGTTATGTTGCCACCTCTACAAATAATTAGCCAAGTGTGGTGGCATGCACCTGTAGTCCCAGATACTCAGGAGGCTGAGGCAGGAGAATCACAGGTCGAGGTTGTAGTGAGCTGTGACGGCACTGCACTCCAGCCTTGGCAACACAGTAAGACCTCGTCTCTAAAAAAGCAAAAAGGGCTGGGTGCACTGGCTCACACCTATAATCCCAGCACTTTGGGAGGCCAAGACGGGTGGATCACCTGAGGTCAGGAGTTCAAGATAAGCCTGGCCAACATGGTGATACCGTCTTTAATTAGCCAGGTGTGGTGGTGGGCGCCTGTAATCCCAGCTACTCGGGAGGCTGAGGCATGAGAATCGCTTGAACATGGGAGACACAGGTTGCAGTGAGCTGAGATCATGCCATTGCACTCCAGCCTGGGCAACAGAGCGAGACTAGGTGGCTGTTCTGTGTACTGTGGGATATTGAGTAGCATCCCTGGCCTCCCCAGTATCTCAAATATGAAAACATGTTTTCTATCTCGATTACTGAGCTTTTCGGTGCCTCCTTCGGTTCTGCACCTAAGCTAAGAGCCCCTTCATCTCACCCTGATCTCTATCCAGTTTCTAACACAGCAGTCTTGTAAGATGCCCGGACTTAAACGGTTATTTCCTGTGAAACAGGTGAAAGGGGCTTTCATCTCTAAAAAGTCGGAACTTTTTTTTTTTTTTGAGACGGAATCTTGCTCTGTCACCCAGGCTGGAGGGCAGTGGCATGATCTCGGCTCACTGCAATCTCCGCCTCCCAGCTTCACACCATTCTCCTGCCTCAGCCTCCCGAGTAGCTGGGACTACAGGCGCCCACCACCATGCCCAGCTAATTTTTTGTATTTTTTTAGTAGAAACAGGGTTTCATTGTGTTAGCCAGGATGGTCTCGATCTCCTGACCTCGTGATCCACCGCGCCCGGCCAAGTCTGAACTTTTGCATGGCCTGTTGCCCTGGTGATAAACTGATGCCTTGTTTCCTAAAAGGAATAAAGCCATGAGTTGCCTTTGTTCAGCTCATGGGCATTCACCCATGCACAGAGGAAAAATAAAATCTACGACTCGGGTACATTTTCTTCTTTTTTTTTTCTTTTAAATGAGCAAGTTTGAGAGTCTGCAGTTTGGACTACCATGAGAATTGATAGGAAGGTGGGAGTCCCAGGCAATCCCAGGTCCTGTAGCAGCAGCTGGTGGGGTTCCCACTCCATGCCGTGCAGAGCCTGAACTCAGGATGACACCTGCACCTGCTCTCTGGCTGGGCTCTGGCACAGGAAGCCCTCAGCAAACACCCCCGGCACAGCCATGCCATAGCCAGACAACAGCTCGCTGTACCACACCATCATGGGAGACAGCAGTTATTCTGAGCATCTCACTGCTGAAGAAACCAAGGCTCAGAGAGGACCATGCATGCACAAGGTCCCACAGGGACCCAAGAATCCACCAAGTGTCAGACAACTTGCCCATGCTCTTCACGGAGCACCTTGGAACCCTCCCCGACAGGCACCGCTGGCTCTCCTGACGTGGCCTGCAAGTGCACGGAGCCCCTTCCTCCTCGGCCATTCCCAGTTTAGATTCCCAGGGGAAGCATCAGATGGCCCCTCTCCCCTGCTGGCAGCAGAGCAGACGGAACCAGCCAGAGCCCAGGGCAGTGCTCACCTGCAGGCCAGTCCACTGCGGCCAGCACCGCCCCCTAGAACCTACTGCGGGCATGGCGGCCGCCAGTCCTGGGTCTCCCGGCTCAGGTAGTGCCAGGAAGCTGCGGGCATGGCGGACAGCTGTCCTCGGTCTGGAGGCGCCATCCTGGCTTTCAAATCTGCTCCAGAGGTTATCTGGGGAGGGGCTGCTCCCTCACAGAGGGAGCCTCTAAGCCCACCAGGCGGGCACTTTCAGCCCAAAGCCTCCGGGCCACCTCCTCATCCTCAGCCTCGGGGGCCGGGGCCTTCTGTTTGAGTCCATCGAAGTACTTTCCGGAAACATCCGCCAGTTCCTCCGCCACGGCCAGGTATGTGCTGGGCTGGGCGGCCAGCTCGGGGCTCTTGACCAGCAGCCAGAAGATGGGCCCTGCAATCAGCCCACAGGGCATTTAGTCCACACTCGCTCAGAGAGAAGGAAGGAAGCCCCGCTCCCCGGTCAGGGAGCTCCGGGTCCCTGGAGTCCCACAGAGCCCTCCTCTAGCCCTTTCCCCTTGGCTGCCTCCATCTGCAGTTCCCTTCCCTGGCACTGCCCAGGCAAATCCCACCAGACCAGGGATCAGACCAAAAGCTGCCTCCCCCAAGGAGCCTTCCTGGCTTTGTCCAGGAAAATGGAAGCTCTCTTCCTCTTGGTCAGCCCCAGTCCTCACCCTACCCCATTTCTCCTTTAATAACATCTTATTAAATGCACCTGGCACCAGCCTCAGGTTAAGGATCTTTTTTTGGCCAGGCGAGGTGGCTCAGGCCTGTAATCCCAGCACTTTGGGAGGCCGAGGCGGGCGGATTACCTGGGGTCGGGAGTTCCAGACCAGCCTGGCCAACATGGTGAAACCCCATTTCTACTAAAAATACAAAAATTAACTGGGTGTGGTGGCGGGTGCCTGTAATCCCAGCTGCTCGGGAGGCTGGGGCAGGAGAATCCCTTGAACCTGGGAGGCGGAGGTTGCAGTGAGCTAAGATCACACCATTGCACTCCAGCCTGGGTGACAATAGCAAGACTTCGTCTCAAAAAAAAAAAAAAAAAAGGGCTGGGCGTGGTGACTCACGCCTGTAATCCCAGCACTTTGGGAGGCTGAGGCAGGTGGATCACCTGAGGTCAGGAGTTCAAGACCAGCCTGGCCAACGTGTGAAACCCTGTCTCAACTAAAAATAAAAACTTAGCTGGGTGTGGTGGTGGGCGCCTGCAATCTCAGCTACTTTGGGAGGCTGAGACAGGAGAATCACTTGAACCGAGGAGGCAGAGGTTGGAGTGAGCCAAGATTGTGCCACTGCACTCCAGCCTGGGTGACGAGCAAAACTCCGTCTCAAAAAAAAAAAGACATTTATTTATTTATTTATTGAGACCTGGTGTCTTGCTCTGTCACCCAGGCTGGAGTGCAGTGGTGTGATCTCAGCTCACTGCAACCTCTGCCTCCCGGGTTCAAGCGATTCTCCTGCCTCAGCCTCCTGAGTAGCTGGGACTACAGGTGCACACCACCACACCTGGCTAATTTTTGTATTTTTAGTAGAGACGGGGTTTCACCATGGTGGCCAGGCTGGTCTCGAACTCCTGACCTGAGGTAATCCGCCCACCACAGCCTCCCAAAGTGCTGGGATTACAGGCGTGGCTATTAGCCTCGCCAAGTTAAGATTCTTGATGCCAACCAATCACCCACTCCATGTTTTTCAGGATTATAAACACTAGTCATAAAGCATGAACTGCCTGGGGGTGGTGGCTCACACCTGTAATCCCAGCACTTTGGGAGGCAGTTGGATCACCTGAGGTCAGGAGTTTGAGACTAGCCTGACCAATATGGTGAAACCCCACCTCTAGCTGGGTGTGGTGGTGTGCACCTGTAATCCCAGCTACTTGGAGACAGGAGAATCGCTTGAACCTGGGAGGTGGAAGTTGCAGTGAGTGGAGATCATGCCATTGTACTCCAGCCTGGGCGACAGAGCAAGACTTCATCTCAAAAATAAGTAAGTAAAGCTCCAACTGTTTGTTCCACCTATTCTCTGGGCGGGGTCCTGTGCTGGCCCTTTCAAGGAAGGTCTCGTATAACCCCCCCAGTGACTGTGAGGTGAGTCCTATTAAGGCCTGCACTCTGCAGATGAAGAAACAGGCTCAGAGGGGTAACAGCTCTTCCCCAGGAGGTGCAGCTGGTTTGGGGTGAAGCTGGAGTTACCCTGAGTACAGCCTGACTCCAGGCGTCAGCTCCACGGCCTCTTCCTCTGAGACACGGTTTTCTCATCCGCCAGCAGGGCTCTGCCTGCTTCCCGGGGCTGTTAGAGGCTGGCAGGCCAGGTCAACGGAGGAAAGGGACCTGTGCTCTGTGCCTCAGAAGACGTAGGCGAGGAGCAGGCATGAGGCCTCAGGGACGGTCTCTGAGGGAGGGTCCTGGGCCCTGGGCTGAGAAAGCAGGGGTGGAGGGCTCCACGTGGAGACCCCAGGCTGGGAGGGGACTCACCGAGTGTGGTGCTGGAGAAGGTGGAGCCATGGATGCCCGTGTGTCTGCCCAGCTCTGTCCTGGCCACGCCGGGGTGCAGGGCGTTGACAGTCACACCAGAGCCTGGGGAAGAAAGAAAGAGAAGACTGAGGGAGGGGTCCAGCCTCACCTGGGAGGCTGTGGCAGCCCACACCCAGCTGTGGGGCTTCCGGGCACCAGGCTGCTTCCTGCACTCAAACCCCATCGTCCCTCTTGCTCTGGAATCTTAGTGAAGTGGTCTTATCTTGCGGAGCGGCTCTGCCACATGGCTGCTGGGAGCCGAGCTTTCCTGGAGGGCTTCATAAACCCAGAACGCTGAGCTTACCCCGGGAGCCTGCATCGGTGCGTGGCGGTGGGACCTAAGATACTGTAACTCTGACCAGCTCCCAGTGGGGCTGGCACCGCTGGTCCACAGACCGTCTTTCAGAAGCAAAGGCCTAGCACAGATTTCTCAATCTCAGCACTGTGGATGCTGTGGGTTGGGAGGAGTGAGGGGCCATCCCGTGCGCTGTAGGACATTGAGAGCATCTGGGCCTTTACCCTCCAGATGCCCAGAGCAATCTCTCCCCAAGCCAGCTGTGATCACTGTGTTTCCAGGCATTGACAACTGCGGGTCAAAACTGCCCCTGGTTGAGACTCACTGGCTGGAGCCAAAAGGCTGAGCTGCCTGCCCAACAGCAGCAGGGAAGGACATCTGATCCAGGCAGACTAGACCACCTGGGATGAACAGACAATCCTCAGAAGAACGATCGATTAGTGATGTCTGCTTCAGGCACCAGAAGCGGGCAGCGTGGTCCACATGCTCTACTTTTGCTGACTCTGTTCTGGATCCACCGTTTGGCCTCCCATCAGCCTAGGATCATGGAAAGGCCGCTCTAGGCTCAGAGTAAAGCAAGAGGGAGGCCGAGCCTAGCGCCCCCGTACCTTGCAGCCGCCGGCTCAGCTCCTTGGTGAAGAGGACGATGGCGAGCTTGCTCTGGCAGTAGGCGGCTTTGGTGTTATACTTCCTCGTCTGCCAGTTCAAGTCGTCAAAGTCTATGTGCCCAGCAACATGGGCCAGGGACGAGAGGTTGATGATCCGCGAAGGGGCTGAGGCTTTCAGCTTGTCCAGCAGCAAGTTTGTCAAGAGAAAGTGACCTGGATTAAGGATGATGAAAAGGTCACTTTTGACTCACACCTAAAATCCCAGCACTTTGGGAGGACGACGGGGGAGGATCGCTTGAACCCATGGTGCAGCCCCTGCCCAGGCCTCACCCAGGTGGTTAACGCCAAACTGCATCTCGAAGCCGTCCTCGGTGGTCCAGTGGGGGCACCGCATCACACCCGCGTTGTTGATTAGAATGTCCACTCGCTCCTCCTCTGGAAGAGAGGGGTGGAGGAGGAGACATCCCGGTGAGGACAGACCCCAGCCTGATGCACCAGCAGAAACACTCCTGTGCTCCCACAACCTGTGAATGTGGCCTGTGCCGGAAACAGGGTCTGTGCCGAAGTGGCCATGTCAGGATGCGGTCATTAGGGTGAGCCCTAATCCAATGACTGGTGTCCTTATAGGAAGGGAAAACAGAGACAGAGACACATGGGGAGAAGGCCATGTGTGGACAGAGGCAAAGACCGGAGAGGCACAGCTCCAAGGTGAGGGTGGGCCGCCCCCGCTGGAAGTGGAAGAGGCTGGGAGGATTATGGCCCGTCTCACAGGTCACAGCCACAGGGACACCGCGATTCAGACTGCCGGCTTCCGGAACCGTGAGGGAATGCACGTCTGAGGGTGTAAGCCACTGGGTTTGCAGTACATTGTTACAGCAGCTCCAGGACACTCACACGCCCTCCGCACCTCCATCTAAGCCTTGGGACTCCTTCCTGCCGGAGCCCCGAGGCCAAAAACGGGAGGTTACCGGTGGGAGCCCCGGCACCGCAGGCGTGGTTTCATTCCCAAACCTGCCACCTCACTCATACAAGCAACCAAAGGACACACAGATGGAGACTGCAGCCTCAGTTTCCTCAGCTGTAAAATGCGCTGAACCACAGGGCCTTCCTCCCTGTACCACTCAGCTCGGGTTCCGTAACAAAGTGCCACAGACAGGTGGTTTAAAACCTCACAGACCTGGCCGGGCACAGTGGCTCACGCCTGTAATCCCAGCACTTTGGGAGGCCGAGGTGGGCAGATCACCTGAGGTCAGGAGTTTGAGACCAGCCTGGCCAACATGGAGAAACCGCGTCTTTACTAAAAATACAAAATTAGCCAGGCGTGGTGGCATGCACCTGTAATCCCAGCTACTCAGGAGGCTGAGGCGGGAAAATCGCTTGAAACCAGGAGGCAGAGGGTGCAGTGAGCCGAGATCGCATCATTACACTCCATCCTGGGCAATAAAAGCAAAACTCCATCTCAAAAAAAAAAAAAAAAATCACAGTCCCAGAGGCTGGAAGTCCCAGATCAAGGTGTGGGCAGGGCTGGTTCCCTCTCAGGGCCCTCAGGGAGGATCCGCTCTGGTCTCTCTCCTTGGCTCACAGGTGACCATCTCCTCTCTCCCTCTTCCCTTCCTCTTCCCTTTGGAGCTGTCTCTTTTTTTTTTTTCATTTTTCCTTTTTTAATTTTAGATTTTTCAGACATGGTCTCACTATGTTGCCCAGGCTGGTCTCAAACTCTTGAACTCAAGCAATCCTCCTGCTTTGGCCTCCCAGAGTGCTGCAATTTCACTGCCCCCAGCCTATTTTTTTTTTTTTGGGGGGGGGAGATGGAGTTTCACTCTTGTCACCCAGGCTGGAGTGCAATGGTGCGATCTTGGCTCACTGCAACCTCTGCCTCCCAGGTTCAAACAATTCTCCTGCCTCAGCCTCCCAAGTAGCTGGACTACAGGCATCCACCACCACACCGGGTTAATTTTTTGTATCTTTAGTAGAGACGGGGCTTCACCATGTTGGCCAGGCTAGTCTCACACTCCTGACCTCGTGATCCACCTACCTCAGCCTCCCAAAGTGCTGGGACTGCAGGCGTGAGCCACCACACTCAGTCTACTTGGCCTATTTTTTATATTTCTTTGAGACAGGGTCTCCCTCTGACACCTGGGCTGGAGTACAGTGGCGCAATCACTGCTCACTGCAGCCTCAACCTCCCAGGCTCAAGCAGTCTTCTTGCTCAGCCTCCCAAGTAGCTGGGGCCACAGGCATGCGCCACCATGCCCAGCTAGCACGTCTGTTTCTGTGCGCAAATCTCCCCTTTTCATAAGGACACCAGTCACTGGATTAGGGCCCACCCTAATGACCTCATTTTCACTTCAGGACCTCTGTAAACACCCACCTCTAAATGAAGTCACATGCTGAGGGATGGGGGTTCAGGATCCCAACCTATCCTTGGGGGTGGAGGACACAATGGAATTCATAATGCTCCCGAAGTGGTTTTCGGCGGGGATCGTGAATTAGGTGTCCAGCGCGTAACACACAGACACCATCTGGTTCTCTGTGTGAGAAGGAGGGGGTTGCAGCACACCCGTCATGAATACCAGCTCTGGAGCAGGACAGACAGGTTCAAAGCCTGGCTCCACCCCGACCAGCTGCATGATCCTGGCCAAGTCACATCACTTCTCTGTGACTCAGTTTACTCCTTGTAAAAAAAAAAAAAAAAAAAGGATAATAACATCACCTGCCTGGTACAACTGTATACTTACTCATTCAGTAAGTATTTTCTAAGCACCTATTACTGGGCACTGGAAATACAGGGTGGACAGCACAGCCGAGGCCCCGTCCGTGTGGACCGGACATTCCAGTGCAGCTGAGAGCCACTTCCACTCGTGAGAGAATCTACCCGTGACAGAGCTGCGTGGAAGCTGACAGGAGGCCCCTCTCAGGAGGTGACGCAGAAACTGGGACCGGGAAAATGAGGCAGGGCCCACGTGCGGAGACCCAGGGAAGGGGGATGCAGGCAGCAGGCGCAGCACGGGTAAGGCCCAAAGGCGGGACAGGGAGACTCCACTCACAGCTGGGCGCCCAGGAGTGCCGCCAGCTTCTGGTGTTTTGTTTTGGTTTTTTTTCTTTTTTTTTTTGAGATGAAGTCTCACTCTGCCACCCAGGCTGGAGTGCAGTGGTGTGATCTTGGCCCATGGCCCACTGCAACCTCTACCGCCTGGGTTCAGGCGATTCTGCTGCCTCAGCCTCCCGAGTACTGGGATTACAGGTGCCCGCCACCGCACCCTGCTAATTTTTGCATTTTTAGTAGAGACGGGGTTTCACCATCTTGGTCAGGCTGGTCTTGAATTCTTCACCTCGTGATCCACCCGCCTCTGCCTCCCAAAGTGCAGGGATTACAGGTGTGAGCCACCGCGCCCAGCCTGTTTTTTTTTTTTTCTTTTTATGAGAGGGAAGCTCACTCAGTGGCCCAGGCTGGAGTGCAGTGGCGCGATCTCAGCTCACAGCAACCTCCGCCGCCAGGGCTCAAACGATCCTCCCACCTCAGCCTTCCACATAGCTGAACCACAGGCGCCCGACACCACAAGCAGCTACTTTTAAAATTTTTTGTAGAAATGGGGTTTGGCTATGTTGCTTAGGCTGGTCTCGAATTTCTGAGCTTAGGCAATTCGCCCACCTCGGCCTCCCAAAGTGCTGGGATTGCAGGCGTGGGCCACAGTGCCTGGCCTGTTGTTTTGTTTATCTGGGAACTGCCTCAACTTTTTTTTTTTTTTTTTTTTTTTGGACACAGGGTCTCACCCCGAGTGCAGTGGTACAATCAAAGCTCACTGCAGGCCGGGCGTGGTGGCTCACATCTGTAATCCCAGCACTTTGGGAGGCCGAGGCGGGCAGATCACCTGAGGTCAACCAGCCTGACCAACATGGTGAAACCCTGTCTCTACCTAAAACAAAAAAGTAGCCGGGCATGGTGGCAGGTGCCTGTAATCCCAGCTACTCAGGAGGCTGAGGCAGGAGAATTATTTGAAACCAGGAGATGGAGGTTGCAGCCTGACCAACAGGAAGAAACCCCGTCTCTACTAAAAATACAAAATTAGCCGGGCGTGGTGGCGCATGCCTGTAATCCCAGCTACTCGGGAGGCTGAGGCAGGAGAATCACTTGAACCCAGGAGGTGGAGGATGCCGTGAGCCAAGATCCCGTCATTGCACCAGCCTGGGCAACAAGAGCAAAACTCCGTCTTAAAAAAAAAAAAAAAAAATCCCTCACTGCAGCCTCAACCTCCCAGGCTCAAGCAATCCTCCCACCTCCACCTCCCAAGTAGTTGGGACTACAAGTGCACACCATCACGCCTGCCTCATTGTTTTTTATTTTTTTTTTGAGATGGAGTCTCACTCTGTCACCCAGGCTGGAGTGCAGTGGCGCCATCTCGGCTCACTGCAAGCTCCACCTCCCGGGTTCACGCCATTCTCCTGCCTCAGCCTCCCAAGTAGCTGGGTTACAGGTGCCCGCCACCACGCCCGGCTAATTTTTTTGTGTTTCTTAGTAGACACGGGGTTTCACCGTGTTGGCCAGGATGGTCTCGATCTCCTGACCTTGTGATCCGCCCGCCTCAGCCTCCCAAAGTGCTGGGATTACAGGCGTGAGCCTGCACGCCTGCCTGATTGTTTTGTATTTTTTGTAGAGATGAGGTCTTGCTATGTTGCCCAGGCTGATCTCAAACTCCCTGATAAACAAGGCTGTGGGTACCTGCTTCCTGGGGCTCTTTGCTTTGTGTTCTTTCTAGTCGGGAGCTGGGAAGAGCCACAGCTTCCAGCTTTGTCAGAGTGTCATCTCACAAACTGATCTTCCCAAAACTTCTGTCTCCCAAAGTGCCGGGATGACAGGCGTGAACCGCTGCACCTGGCCTGCCCCAGTGTGGTAGAATACACACCACATAAAATGGACGATCTTCACTATTTTTAAATCCACTGCTGTCTTTATTCCTGGCTGTTGATCTTAGGAAAACACCAAGAAGCTGGTACTTGATTTGCTAAAAAAGTCACAGACACAGCTTTACTTAATCCTCTAGAGAGGCTGGGCGTGGTGGCTCATGCCTGTAATCCCAGCACTTTGGGAGGCCGAGGTGGCTGGATCATGAGGTCAGGAGATCGAGACCATCCTGGCTAACACGGTGAAACCCCGTCTCTAGTAAAAAATATAAAAAATTAGCCGGGCGTGGTGGCAGGCGCCTGTAGTCCCCCGCCACTCGGGAGGCTGAGGCAGGAGAATGGCATGAACCCGGGAGGCGGAGCTTGGAGTGAGCCGAGATGTGCCACTGTCCTCCAGCCTGGGCGACAAAGCAAGATACCGTCTCAGAAAAAAAAAAAAACCCCTCTAGAGAATCCCAGAAAATAGAAGGAATTATTCCATTTCCCGGAAGAGGAACGTGTGGCTAAGAGAGGAGGCATCACCTGCCCAGGTGTGTCCAGCCGGGGTCCTCACTGTCTCAGGGACCTCAGTGCTCCGGACACCTGTGTCCACAAGCCAGAGACAGGATCAGAGGCGCCCTGGGTGGGATTGCCTGGGACAGTGTGCATGAAGGTGACAGTGCTGTACCTGGTACACAGCAGGTGCTTAATAAATGTTCATCCACCTCTGAGACTCTGAGGCATTGCCCTCTCACTGTTCTTTGTGATCTCACCGTAGTGCCTCTCACCTACCCGACAACAGTGCCGGCTCTTTCTTGATCCCCAAGGGCACAGCAGGGGCTCAGTATGAATGAATGAATGAACCAACGAATGTGCACCTGCACCTGCCTCCCTAGGGCTGTGAGTGGCACAAGGACAGCTCTGGTTCATCTCACACCTCCAGCACCTGGTCAGGTCTGAGATCACGTCTGCTAAATAAATGAGGTCCCACAACTCCCCCATTCCTTGTTCATTTCCTGAGTACCCGTTTACTGAGCGGGGCACATTGACTCTGAAGAAGAAAGCTTTGGCCCTTTCAGTGCCAGACTAGAAAAGAAACAAAGCAGCTGGGCATGGTGGCTCATGCCTGTAATCCCAGCACTTTGGGAGGCTGAGGCAGGCGGATCACAAGGTCAGGAATTCGAGACCAGCCTGGCCAACATAGTGAAACCCCGTCTCTACTAAAAATACAAAAATTAGCCGGGCATGGTGGCACCCGCCTATAGTCTTGGGAGGCTGAGGCAGGAGAATCGCTTGAACCCAGGAGGCGGAGGCTGCAGTGAGCCAAGATCGCATCATTGCACTCCAGCCTGGGTGACAGAGCAAGACTCCATCTCAAAAAAAAGGTCTTGCTCTGTCATCCAGGTTAGAGTGCAGTGGCACAAATACGGCTCACTGCAGCCTTGAACTCTCGGGCTCAAGTGATCCTCTTGCCTCAGCCTCCTGAGTAGCTGGGACTGTAGGCACATGCCAGGATGCCCGGCTAATTTTTTTTTTTTTTTAATCTTTGGTACACACAAGGTCTCACTATGCTTCCTAGGCTGGTCTCTAACTCCTGAGCTCAAGCAATCCTAAGAGAAGAGATTTTAAATGTGGTCACCACAAAAACAGGTAAGTATTTGAGGTAATGCATATGTTAATTAGCTTGATTTAGCCATTCTACAATGTATACAATGTACATCATGCTGTACATAATATATACAAGTATACATGTCAACTAAACAATAAATAATTTTAGTGTATTCTTGAGTCTATTTAAAGATGAACAAGAATAGAAAAGCTAGAGGATGGTCCCAGTTTTACATAAAAATATATAAATACACACACAAACCTATTATAAACAAGACTAGAAAGATCCATAAAAGTGATTCTCCTGGGGCTGGTGCAGATCAAAGTTGTTTAGTTCTGTCTTCTTTTTTATTGAGACAGAGTCTCACTCTGTCACCCAGGCTGGAGTGCACTGGCACAATCTCAGCTCACTGCAACCTCCGCCTCCTGGGTTCAAGCAATTCTCCTGCCTCAGCACCCTGAGTAGCTGAGATTACAGGTGTGCACCACCACGCCTGGCTAATTTTTGTATTTTTAGTAGAGACAGGGTTTCACCATGTTGGCCAGGCTGGTCTCGAACTCCTGACCTCAAGGGATCCACCTGCCTCAGCCTCCCAAAGTGCTGGGATTAACAGGCGTGAGCCACTGTGCCCAGCCAGTTCTGTCTTCTTTACATTGCAGTATTTTATAAATGTCCCATAACAAACACATATTTCTTTAACCATGGTGGGGAAGGCACTTGATCAATAAATGCTTAATAAGGTCAGGTGCGGTGGCTCACGCCTGTAATCCCAGCACTGTGGGAAGCTGACCTGGGTGGATCACTTGAGCCCAGGAGTTGGAGACCAGCCTGAGCAACATGGTGAAACCCCAGCTCTAAAAACAAAACAAAACAATAAAACAATAATTAGCTGTGTGTGGTGGCGTATGCCTGTACTCCCAGCTACTTGGGAGGCTGAAGTGGGAGGATCCCTTGAGCCCAGCAGGTTGAGACTGCAGTGAGCCATGACTGCACCACTGCACTCTAGCCTGGGTGACAGAGATGGATCCTGTCTCAAACAAACTAATTATTCAGGTAGGGCACGGTGGCTCACACCTGTAATCCCAGCACTTTGGGAGGCCAAGGGAAGCAGATCACCTGAGGTCAGGAGTTCGAGACCAGCCTGACCAACATGGTGAAACCCTGTCTCTACCTAAAACACAAAAAATTAGCCAGGCACGGTGGCGGGTGCCTGTAATCCCAGCTACTCAGGAGGCTGAAGCAGGAGAATCATTTGAAATCGGGAGACGGAGGTTGCAGTGAGGCAAGATCACACCACTGCACTCCAGCCTGGGCAACAGAGCGAGACCCCATCTGTCTCAAAACAAACAAACAAAACAAAGTCAGCCGGGCGCAGTGGCCCACGCCTGTAATCCCAGCACTCTGGGAGGCTGAGGCAGGAGAATCACCTGAGGTCAGGAGTTCCAGACCAGCCTGGCCAACGTGGTGAAACCCCGTCTCTACTAAAAATACAAAAATTAGCAGGGTATGGTAGCAGGCATCTTAATCCCAGCTACTCAGGAGGCTGAGGTCCGCGCTTGAACCCAGGAGGCAGAGGTTACAGTGAGCCGAGATCGCGCCATTGCACTCAGCCTGGCCGACAGAGTGAGACTCCCTCTCAAAATAACAGTAGTAATAAATAAATAAAGTCGTTGCTTGCAGGCTGTACAAAAAAAGGCAGCAACTGGACTTGGCCCCTAACTCATAGTTTGCCAAAACTCTGCTCTAAAGTTTGCTTGCTTCATTCACTTCTCAGAGCCTGGCCCTGGGAGCCGCCTATCCCAGTCCTCATCCCACATGGCCAGCGTTCTCCTACCTTCAATGATCTTTGCTGCAAACTCTCGGATAGACTTGAGGGAAGCCAAGTCCAGGTGCCGGGCGTTGACATGGTGATTGAGGGTCTCCCCGCGGATGTCCTTTGCTGCCGCCTCACACTTCTCCATGTCTCGGCAGGCCAGGATGATGTTGCCTCCTGAAAACCCAGGATGGAAAAAGATTTAAATTAATAATCCACTCCTGGGTACTGACCCCAGAGACATGAAAACATACGTCTACACAAAAACACATCCACCAATGTTCACTGCGGCATTCTTCACAAAAGCCAAAAGGTAGAAACAACCAAATGCCCATCTGTGGATGAAGGGACAACAAAATGTGGTCCATCCATAGAGATGGAATATTAGACGGCCGTGAAAAGGAGTGAAGCACTGGCTCATGCTACAGCAAGGATGACCGTCAGAAACACTGTGCTCGGGGAAAGAAACCAGACACGAAAGACCACACAGCGTACAATCCCATTTACATGAATTCTATGTATATGATTTCACACCTATGAAACGCCCAGAATAGGCAAATCCATAGAGAAAGAAAATAGATTCTTGGTTTTCTAGGGCAGGGGGTGGGGAGAGGGAATTACAGCTTGATAGTTACAGTGAGCAGGTTTCTTTCTAGGGTAACAGATGTTCTAAGATTGATTTTAAAGATGGTTGCATCATTCTGTGACTATACTAAACATCACTGAATTGGTCGGGCACGGTGGCTCACACCTGTAATTCCAGCACTTTGGGAGGCCAAGGCAAGAGGATTCCCCATCCTCTCCTTTTTTTTTTTTTTTTAGATGGAGTCTCACTCTGTCACCCAGGCTGGAGTGCGGTGGCGCAATCTCGGCTCACTGCAACCTCCACCTCCTGGGTTCAAGCAATTCTCCTGCCTCAGCCTCCCGAGTAGCTGGGATTACAGGCACCTACCACAACTAGCTAATTTTTTATTTTTTTATTTTTAGTAGAGACAGCGGTTTCACCATGTTAGCCAAGCTAGTCTTGAACTTCTGACCTCAGGTGATCCACCCCGCGGCCTCCCAAAGTACTGGGATTACAAATAAGCCACAATGCCCAGCCTCCAATTTTTTTTGTTGTGGTAAAATACAAATCACTTAAAATTTATCATCTTAACCCCCTTTTCTTTTTGTTTATTATTATTTTTTTTTTTTTGAGTCAGTCTCACTCTGCTGCCGCGGCTGGAGTGCTGGCGCCATCACAGCTCATTCAGCCTTGAACTCCTAGGCTCAAGTGACCTGGGACTATAGGTACCACCTGTGCCAGCATGCCTGGCTAACTCTGGTAGAGATGGGGGTGTTGCTATGGTGTCCAGGCTGGTCTGGAACCCCTGGCCTCAAGTGATCCTCCTGCCTCAGCCTCCAAAAGTGCTGGAATTATAGATGTGAGCCACCGAGACCCGCCCTCTTAGCCATTTTTAAGTGTCCAGTTCATTGGTATTAAAAACATTTATGGCTGGGCCGGGCATGGTGGCTCACACCTGTAATCCCAGCACTTTGGGAGACCAAGGCAGGTGGATCACCTGAGGTCAGGAGTTCAAGACCAGCCTGGCCAACACATTACAAACTTAGCTGGGTGTGGTGTTGCATGCCTGTAATCCCAGCTACTCGGGTGGCTGAGGCAGGAGAATTGCTTGAACCCGGGAGGCGAAGGTTGCAGTGAGCCAAGATCATGCCACTGCACTCCAGCCTGGGCGACAAGAGCAAAACTCCATCTCAAAAAAAAAAAAACAATAATAATAATTCCTAATGTTGTGCAACCATTACAACCATCCATCTCTCAAATTGTTTCATCTTGCCAAACTAAACTTCCGTTTCCATTAAACAGTAACTCCCCATTCTCCCCTCCCCTCCTGACCCCTGGCAAGCACCATTCCAACTTCTCTATGAATTTAACTGTAGGTAGCTCCTGTAAGTGGAATCATACCGTATTTGCTCTTCTGTCGACTGGCTTATTTCACTTCATGGAATGTCCTCAAGGTTCATCTGTTTCAATGCCCTTTTTTTTGTTTTGCTTTGTTTTGTTTTGTTTTTGAGTCTCACTCTGTCACCCAGGCTGGAGTGCCGTGGCGCCATCTCTGCTCACTGCAACCCCTGCCTCTCAGGTTCAAGCGATTCTCCTGCTTCAGCCTCCCAAGCAGCTGGGACTACAGGTGCCCACCACAACTCCTGGCTAATTTTTGTATTTTTAGTAGAGAGGGGGTTTCACCATGTTGGTTAGGCTGGTCTCGAACTCCTGACCTCGTGATCCGCCAGCTTTGGCCTCCCAAAGTACTGATTACAGGCGTGCACCACCGCGCCCGGCCAGAATGCCCTTCCTTTTTAAGGCTGAATCATATGCCCCTGTCTATAGAAGCCACATTCTGTTTCCCTGTTCATCTGTGGATGGGTGCCTGGGTTCCTTCCACCTCCGGACTGTGAATAATGCTGCAGTGAGCATGGATGTACAGATATCTCTCTGAGAGCCAAAGCAGGGGAGATTTTACCTCTCCTGGCCAGTTCCAAGGCGGTCTGCTTCCCGATGCCTGTGTTGGCACCCGTCACGATGACCGTCTTCCCAGGGATGGTGGCCTTGCTGGGGCAAGCCCCACCGGTGACATAGTCCCTGAGGGTGAGAAGCGGCACGGTCAGTCCTGTGGGCCCACTCTCACCCCACGTGCCCCTGACTGAATGATCTCAGGCAACCTTGTCTGAGCTCACTCACATACCCCAACTGAAACACAGACATCATCACATCACACCAAGGGACCTCTGTCATGTTCTCCATAAGTGGCTCCACCCAGTGTCTGGCGTGTGGAACGCCTTCAGCAAGTGACAGTCATTATTTTATAAATGCTCACTGCATGAGATTCCCGGCCAGGTGAGGGGGCTTGCACCTGTAATCCCAGCACTTTGGGAGGCCAAAGTTTTGGGGGTGGGGGGGGGCGGGGGCGGATCACTTGAGGTCAGGAGTTCGAGTCCAGCCTGGCAAACATGGCGAGACCCCGTCTCTACTTAAAATACAAAAATTAGCCAGATGTGTAGGGAAAAGAGAGATTAGACTGTTACTGTGTCTATATAGAAAGGAAAGACATAAGAGACTCCATTTTGAAAAAGACCTGTACTTTGAACAATTGCTTTGCTGAGATGTTGTTAATTTGTAGCTTTGACCCAGCCACTTTGACCCAATCTGGAGCTCACAAAAACCTGTGTTGTATGAAATCAAGGTTTAAGGGATCTAGGGCTGTGCAGGAAGTGCCTTGTTAACACAATGTTTCCAAGCAGTATACTTGGTAAAAGTCATCGCCAGTCTCTAGTCTCAATAAACCAGGGGCACGATGCACTGCAGAAAGCTGCAGGGACCTCTGCCCTTGAACACAGAGTATTGTCCAAGGTTTCTCCCCGTGGGATAGTCTGAAATATGGCCTCGTGGGATGAGAAAGACCTGACCGTCCCCCAGCCCAACACCCGTAAAGGGTCTGTGCTGAGGTGGATTGGTAAAAGAGGAAAGCCTCTTGCAGTTGAGAGAGAGGAAGGCCACTGTCTCCTGCCTGACCCTGGGAACTGAATGTCTCGGTATAAAACCTGATTGTACATTTGTTCAATTCTGAGACAGGAGAAAAGCCGCCCTATGGCGGGAGGCGAGACATGTTTACAGCAATGCTGCCTTGTTATTCTTTACTCCGCTGAGATGTTTGGGTGGAGAGAAACATCAATCTGGCCTACGTGCACGTCCAGGCATAGTACCTTCCCTTGAACTTAATTATGTCATAGATTCTTTTGCTCACATGGTTTTTGCTGACCTCATTATCACCCTGCTCTCCTACTACATTCCTTTTTGCTGAAATAATGAAGATAATAATCAGTAAAAACTGAGGGAACTCAGAGGCCGGTGCCGGTGCAGGTCCTTGGTATGCTGAGCGCCGGTCCCCTGGGCCCACTGTTGTTTCTCTATACTTTGTGTCTTATTTCTTTTCTCAGTCTCTCGTCCCACCCAACTAGAAATACCCACAGGTGTGGAGGGGCAGGCCACCCCTTCACAGGCGTGGTGGTGCACACCTGTAATCTCAGCTACTCAGGGGGCTGAGGCACGAGAATTGCTTGAACCTGGAAGGCGGAGGTTGCAGTGAGTCGAAATGGTGCCAGCCTGGGCAACAGAGCGAGACTCTGTCTCAAAAAAATTTAAATTTAAATTTAAAATGCCCGCTGCACGAGATTCCCAAGGCTGCTGTACGCATTACCACAGACTTAGTGGCTTAAAACCACATAAGTGCATCCTCCTCCAGTTCGGCAGGTCAAGAGTCCAAAACATGTCTCACTGGAATAAATCAAGGTATTGGTAGAGTCAGGTTCCTTCTGGAGGCTCTAGGGAAGAATCCACTTCCAGCTCCTACAGACCGCCACATTCCTCCACTCTTGGCCCCGCCTCCATCTTCAACCTGCATCCTCACTGGAACCTCTCCTTTATTTATTTATTTATTTACTTATTTATTTTTGAGACAGAGTCTCGCTCTGTCGCCCAGGCTGGAGTGCAGTGGCTCAATCTCAGCTCACTGTAACCTTCGCCTCACAGGTTCAAGCGATTCTCCTGCCTTAGCCTCCTGAGTGGCTGGGATTACAGGCACATGCCACCACACCTGGCTAATTTCTTTTGTATTTTTAGTAGAGACAGAGTTTTACCACGTTGGTCAGGCTGGTCTCGAACTCCTGACCTTGTGATCCGCCTGCCTTGGCCTCCCAAAGTGCTGCGATTACAGGCGTGAGCCACCACACCCAACAACCTCTCCTTCTATCTTCCATCTCCCCTCTGACTGAGCCTCCTGCTCCCTCTTATAAGGACCCTATAAGACTACAAGGCAGGACCGGCACAGTGCCTCACACCTGTAATCCCAGCACTTTGGGAGGCCAAGACAGGAGGATCACTTGAGGTCAGGAGTTCGAGACCAGCCATGGCCAACATGCTGACACCCCATCTCTACTAAAAATACAAAAATTAGCAGGGCTTGGTGGTGCACGCCTGTAGAGTCAGCTACTCGGGAGGCTGAAGTGGGAGGACCACCTGAGCCCAGGGAGGGTGAGGCTGCAGTGAGCTGTGACAGCATGACTGCACTCCAGCCTGGGTGACAGAGAGACCCTGTCTCCAAAAAAAAAAAAAGACTACATGATAATCATAAGATCCTTCACTTGGCCGGGCACGGTGGCTCACGCCTGTAACCCCAGCACTTTGGGAGGCCAAGGTGGCCAGATCCCCTTTGGTCGGGAGCTCAAGACCAGCCTGACCAACATGGAGAAACCTCGTCTCTACTAAAAATACAAAATTAGACAGGCGTGGTGGCACATGCCTGTAATCCCAGCTACTCAGGAGGCTGAGGCCGGACAATCGCTTGAACCCGGGAGGTGGAGGTTGTGGTGAGCCGAGGTCGTGCCATTGCACTCCAGCCTGGGCAACAACAGCGAAACTCTGTCTCAAAAAAAAAAAAGATGCTTCACTTAACACATCAGCGAGAACCTCTGACACGTGAGGTAATGTCGTCACACCTTCCGAGGATTAGGACGTGGACCCCTCTACGGAGTCACGACTCTGCCCACCACACCCATGTCCCACAGAGGCTAACGCTGGCAACAAGATAGTGTCCAGCAACAGGAGGCTGAGCAGGTAAACAGCACTGCACCCACAGGAGAGAAGGGCACCATGCAATACAGTGGCCACCAGCCACAGAGGCTAATTTTTAAGAAAGTTTAAATTAAGTAGGCTGGGCGAGGTGGCTCACGTCTGTAATCCCAGCACTTTGGAGGCCGAGGCAGGCGGATCACCTGAGGGCAGGTGTTTGAGACCAGCCTGGCCAACATGGCAAAACCCCGTCTCTGCGAAAAATACAAAAATTAGCCGGGCGTGGTGGCGCACGTGTGATCTCAGCTCCTGGGGACGCCAAGGTGGGAGGATCACCTGAGCCCAGGAGGTCAAGGCTGCAGTGAGCCAAGATCGCGCCACTGCACTCCAGCCTGGGCGACAGAGCCAGATTCTGCCTTTAAAAATAAACGAACAAATAAATAATACAAAACAACAAAATAAAGAGTTTAAAAGTCTGGAAGGAAAGCAACATTTACAAGGGCCCAGGCTCGCCCTTCCCTCCGAGTGACCTTGGGCCGGTGACCTGGCCGGCCAGAGCGCAGGTTTGCCCCACTCCGGGCGGGCACTGCGGGTCGGGAGCTACGGGGCCTGGACCCGGGTGCGAGGGGCGGGGGTCTCCGCCGCCTTCCCGGCCCCTGCGCTGGGGGCCCGCCTTGACCGCGCACGCGGGGCTAGAATGTACTCACTTGAGCAGCACGGCGGCGCCTGCTACCGTGCCCAGCGCCGACAGCGGCAGCAGGTAGCGGCTCATGCCGGGCCGGGGACAGGCGTCAGGCGTCAGGGGTCGGCGCGGAGCTTGCTGCACACCAGCCGCCTGGGTAGCTCCGAGGAAGAGCGCGCGACGCAGCCACAGGCGAGCGGAGGCGCAGGCGCGGCTGGGCCCGCGTCCGGAACTGGGCTGCGAGGGGCGGGGCGCGGGCGGAGGGGGCGGGGATCCTAGGGACGGGACCTATGAGCATCGGTCCTGAGCGCTGTCACAGCTGGGATTGGTGGTTTCAGGAGCCTGTGGGCGTGGCTAGTCCGGGGGCGGGGCCTATGGTTTGTTCGAATGACGTCACACTTGCCGCAGCGTATAAGGCGCTACGCAGTTCTGGAGTGAAATAGGTTCGAATCCCACCACTGTCAATTCCAGACTGTGACCCTCTGTGTGTCTTTCAACTATATCAGCCTATTCCCTCATCTGGAAATGTGTGTTTACCTTCTTCATAGACTTTTGGAGATAATTTGAGAATTTCCATGCACAGAAACAAGGATCTAGTAGCCTGTGGGTACCCAAGCTCCTGGGGTCCTGCAGGAGAAGGCGGCTGGGGGCCTGGACTCCTGGGTCTGAGGGAGGAGGGGCTGGGGGCCTGGACTCCTGGGTCCAAGGGAGGAGGGGCTGGGAGCATGGACTTCTGGGTCCGAGGGAGGAGGGCCGGGTGCCTGGACTGCTGAGTCTGAGGGAGGAGGGGCTGGGGGCCTGATTCATTCCCAAATTATCAGAATCTCATCCCCATGTCTGGCCCTGCACAGAGATATCTTCCCTGAACTCTGCCTGAACTACCTTTCTTAGATTGAGTATTGCACACACTCCTGCACTTACCTGTCCATGTTTGTCACCCCCACCAAACCGGGATGCACCTCTGGGCACCTGCTTCCCCTTGCACTGCTCACAGCGAGTGTATCTGATCACCACCTCCTACCCCTGACTGTGCCTGAGGTGCCAGGAGCAGACACCGCTGGAAACAGGGAAGAATTCAACCCAATCTAACTAGGAGTAAGTTTTCTTCCTCATCAGATGAACTGTCATCTTCTTATATGAGCCCTGCCATAATGGAGATTATACAGGCAGGAAGAGCTATTTTAAGACCTTAGTCAATGGCCGGGCACGGTGGCTCACGCCTGTAATCCCAGCACTTTGGGAGGCCGAGACAGATGGATCACGAGGTCAGGAGATTGATACCAGCCTGGCCAACATGGTGAAACCCTGTCTCTACTAAAAATACAAAAATTAGCTGGATGTGGTGGCACTCACCTGTAGTCCCAGCTACTCAGGAGGCCGAAGCAGGAGCATCACTTGAACTCGGGAGGTGGAGGTTGCAGTGAGCCGAGATTGCCCTACTGCATTCCAGCCTGGCGACAGAGTGAAATTCTGTCAAAAAAAAAAAAACCTTAGGCCTGTAGACCTTAAGCTCTCACCATCTCAAACGTATTAAACCAGTTACACAATGCCAAATGCTGTATAAGAGGCACTTGGAGGAGTCAAATTCATAGAGACAGAAAACAGAGTGGTGGCTGCAGGGGGCTGGAGATGAGATTGGGAAGTCACAGGATTTGTTTTTGTTTGTTTGTTTGTTTTGTTTTGTTTTTTGAGAGACAGTCTCACTGTGTCACCCAGGCTGGAGAGCAGTGGGCGATCTCAGCTCACTGCAACCTCTGCCTCCTAGGTTCAAGCGATTCTCCTGCCTCAGCCTCCCGAGTAGCTGGGGCTACAGGCACGTGTCACCACACCCGGCTAATTTTTGTATTTTTAGTAGAGACGGGGTTTCACCATGTTGGCCAGGTTGGTCTCAAACTCCTGACCTCAGGTGATCCACCTGCCTCGGCCACCCAAAGTGCTGGGATTACAGGCATGAGCCACCGCACCCGGCCGGGAAGCTGTTTTTTAATAGATACAGAGTTTGTTTTGCAAAATAAAAAAAAGACCTGAAGGTGGACGGTGGTGATGGTTGCACAACAATGTGAATATACTTAACATCACTGAATTGTACACTTAAAATGGTTAAGATGGTACATTTTACTTTATGCATAGTTTACCAAACTAAAAATAAAGAAAAATTTTAGACTGGGCATGGTGGCTCATGCCTGTAATCCCAGCACTTTGGGAGGCCAAAGTGGAGAATAGTATGAGCCCAGGAGTTTGAGAGCGGCCTGGACAACACGGCAAAACCTTATCTCTACAAAAAATACAAAAATTAGCAGGTTTGGTGGCACGCATCTGCACCCTCAGCTACTTGGGAGGCTGAGGTGGGAGGTCTGCTTGAGCCCAGGAGGTCAAGGCTATGATGAGCTGTGATTGTGCCACTGCACCCCAGGCTGGGTGACAGAGCAAGACCCCATCTCAAAAATAATAATAATAAATGTTTACATTTAATAACATGGGCAATTGGTTCAGATGTTCATTTTCTCAACCTTGAAAAAAAAACAACACTGTTTTTCCCTGTCTTTTTCTCCTTTTCTGTAAACTGAAATCCTAATATCATTGACTTCCAGGACAGAGATCAGCAAACTTTTTCTACAAACAGCCAGATAGTAAATAATTTCAGCTTTGTGATCCACACAGTGGCTGTTGCACCTCCTCTGCCAGAGGAGCTGGGAAGCAGCCACAGATGATGTGAAAACAAGTGAGCACAGCTGTGTTCCCATAAAACTTTATTTATAAAAATAAGCAGTGCGCCACAGTTCGCCAGCTCCTGTTTGAGAGTCTCTCTCCGATGCCCAGGCTGGAGCGCAGTGATGCAATCTCAGCTCACTGCAACCTCTGCCTCCTGGGTTCAAGCGATTCTCCTGCCTCAGCCTCATGAGTAGCTGGGATTACAGGCGCTCGCCGCCACACCTGGCTGATTTTTGTATTTTTAGTAGAGACGGGGTTTCACCATGTTGGCCAGGCTGGTTTTGAACTCCAGGCTTCAGGTGATCCACCTGCCTCAGCCTCCCAAAGTGCTGGGATTACAAAGCGTGAGCCACTGCGCCCAGCTACCTGTCATTGAATTTGGAAGGATGGCATGAAGTCATTCATAACAAGGACTTAATCCATAGTAAGTGCCAGAACATTGCTGGCTGTTAATATGGTTATTATAAAGAGAACAATGCATGCATATTCCTCCTCTGAGGATCTCCTACCTGATTCCCAGACACACCCAAGGGAGTTAGAACATCTGTTTGGACTCCAGGTGGGCTGTCCACGCCTTTACCATTTTCCTGGTTGTTAACATGTTCCTGATCAGCACTGGGTGCTGTCCCAGGTGCTGAGAGGATTCTCCCACAATGCCCTTTGCTTTCCCCATCAGAGGGTTTATGGCACCCAATTCTCATTCACATTCTGTCTCTCCTTTCTCGTTCTTCTCTATCTCTCCTCTCTCTGTCTCCTTTTCTCTTCCTCTCTCCCTCTCTGTCTTCTCTCCCTCTCTCTCCCTCTCTCTTCCTCTCTCTCTTCCTCTGTCCTCTTTTCTCTCTCTCTCTCCCTCTCTCTCACATCTCTCTTTCCCTTCCTTTCTCTTTCCTCTCTCTTCCTCTCTCCCTCTCCCTCCTTCTGTCTTCCTCTATCCCTCTCTTCCTCTTTTTTCTTCCTCTCTTCTTGTCTCTTTCTCTCCTCTCTCTCTCCCTCTTTCTCTTTCTCTCTCTCTTCCTCTCCCTTCCTCTTCCTCTCTCTCCTTCTTTCTTCCTCTCTCTCTTCTTGTGTGTGTCTCTCTCTCTCTGTTCTCTCTCTCCCTCTCCCCCCAACTCTCTTTCCCTACACACATCTTAAGAGGCCTCAGCAGTGTAAGGTAAGTTTAGCGACCCTGTGGCTGTGTAGAGATAAGCAAAGGGGGGCAAGGAGCTCCAGTGGTCCCAGACTCCAGCCATTTGAGTCTTTGCAGCCCAAGCACTGCCCCAGCTTCTTGACAGCCCCAGCCATCACCAAAGGGCACACAGATAAGCTGCCTCCACCAAGGCCTGTGCAGATGGTAGGTTTTTGAGTAAAATAGATATGATCCTTGTCTGAAGCCACTGAGTTTTAGAATAATTTGTTATATGGCCATAGTAACTGGAATGATTGCTGTAGGTTTATTTTATTTTATTCATCCTTGCTGCATGCAACACATGCATGGCTCAGTAACTAGAAGGAAAGAAGAGAAGAAGGGAGGGAGAGGCAGAGGGTGGACAGGAGAGGATGGTAGGAAGGAAAGACAGGAAAGGAGGGTGTTGGTGGCCTTGCCTGCAAGCTGAGCAGACACCACGCAAACAGGTGACCTCCCAGTTAAGATGGAGGGGACTCAGGGCTCAGGAGGGGCAGAAGGTCCCCGTGTCGGAGAGCTGGGCAAGCTTTCTGCAGGAAATGATGGGGATCACGGCCATGTGAGCCGGCAAGATTTCCCTCAGCCAGGGAGGAGACTCCGGGCTGTGGGAACAGCTTAAGCAGAAGGCATGGGACAGGAATGCATATGAGAGATATTGTGGGAGGAGGGAGGGCTGCCTGGGCTGGCATGCAGGGTATGGGAGGGGGTGGAAGGGCTGAGGCGGGAGCCATCAGTAAAAGGACCCAGAGCGCGGCTCCAATGCCATGGTAGGAAGCTTGGCGTTGACTCAGAGGGCGCTGGGTACCGCTGAAGAGTGTTGAGCCAAGGAGGGTCATGTCACGGGCAGATACATGTTTTAGAATTTCTTCTTTTCTGGCTGAGATGTAGAGTATGGACTGGAGAGAAGCACAGGGGACATAGGAAAGGTAGTTCTAGAAAGAGGGGCTGTCCCACCAGGGAAAGTCAACCAACTGTTCCCCAGTATCCATTCCTCCCTTCCAGCTCATGGCACTAAAGCCACTGATTGATTAGCTGGGTGCTATCAATCTCTCTCTCATCTCTCTCTCCCTCTTTCTCTCCCCCTCATCTGTGTCTTTTCTCTCTCTCATCTCTCTGTCTCCCTCTTTCTGTCCCCCTCCTCCGTGTCTCCTCTCTCTCTCTTCTCTGTCTCATATCTCTCTCATTGCTCTCTCCCTCTTTCTCTCCCCCTCCTGTGTCTCCTTCTCTCTCTCTCTTTCTCCCCCATCTCTCTTTCTCTCCCCCTTCCTCTCTTTCTCCTCTCACTCTTCCTGTTTCTCTCTTTCTCTTTCTTCCTCTCTTTCTCCCTGTCTCTCTCTTCCTCTTTTCCTTTGTCTCTCTCTCTCCCCCCAACTCTCTCTCCCTACACACATCTTGAGAGACCTCAGCAGTGTAAGATAAGTTTAGCTACTCCACGGCCTGGCACGGTAGCTCACGCCTTTAATCCCAGCACTTTGAGAGGCCAAGGCAGGCAGATCACTGGAGATTAGGGGTTTGAAACCAGCCTGGCCAACATGGTGAAACCCTGTCTCTACTACAAGTACCAAAAAATTAGCTGGGCATGGTGGCACGCGCCTGTAGTCCCAGCTACTCGGAAGGCTGAGGCAGGAGAATCGCTTGAGCCTGGGAGGCGGAAGTTGCAGTGAGCCGAGACCACACCTCTGCACTCCAGCCTGGGTGACAGAGTGAGATTCTGTCTCAAAAAAAGAAAGAGGAGGCCGGGCACTGTGGCTCAGGCCTGTAATCCCAGCACTTTGGGAGGCCGAGGCATGCAGATCACGAGGTCAGGAGATCGAGACCATCCTGGCTAACACAGTGAAACCCCGTCTCTATTAAAAATACAAAAAAATTAGCCAGGCACGGTGGCGGGTGCCTGTAGTCCCAGCTACTCGGGAGGCTGAGGCAGGAGAATGGCGTGAACCCGGGAGGCGGAGCTTGCAGTGAGCCGAGATCGCGCCACTGCACTCCAGCCTGGGCGACAGAGCAAGACTCTGTCAAGAAAGAAAGAAAAGAAAAGAAAAAAAGAAAAGAATAAAGGGAGGGAGGGAAGGGAAAGGAAGGGAAGGAAGG
Organism: Homo sapiens; assembly: GCF_000001405.40. Classification (NCBI taxonomy): domain Eukaryota; kingdom Metazoa; phylum Chordata; class Mammalia; order Primates; family Hominidae; genus Homo; species Homo sapiens. The sequence continues at coordinate 781,069 of NW_003571061.2, forward strand.
AAGGAAGGAAGGAAGGAAGGAAGGAAGGAAGGAAGGAAGGGGAGGGGAGGGGAGGGGAAGGGAGGGAAGAAAGGCAGGCCCTGATGTTCAGGGAGCTGAGAGTGAAGTCACCGGCTCCAACCCAGGATCCAAACTCAAGTCTGTCTGGGGTCCTATCCCCGTCACCACCCCCCGCCCCGACCCATCCCCCAGAGACCTGGGAAGGAGCCAGGCTCCTCCGGTTTCAGGAAAGGGCTGCACAAACCACCCCGCCACGATCCCTCCCAGAGAACAAACAGCTCCCGGCCACCGGCAGTCTCCCTCCTCCTCCTGCCAGGCTGGTTCCCAGACCCACCCTCCCTGTGTCATAAGCGCCTCTCCCCGCACTCTCACCAGGGCTGGCTGTTCTCAGAGGAACGCCCAGGAAAAACCTACCCGAACCCCTTTCAGCTGGGAAGGGGACCCGCCTGGGCTTCCTCACCGCCGATGAGACCTCCCTCGTCGTACACTTAGAGCTGCCTGTGTTTTCCTTCCTTCCTTAAGCGGGCTGGGAACTCTAGACACTCAGGGATGGGCCAGCCCATTAGAGTAAGCATTCGGCCACCTCTAGGCTGCTACGGTCACTGCTGCTGTCACCATCAACGTGACTGTCTCACACCTCACTTCCTCCGGCCAGCCACACCCCTGCAGATTTAACCCGCCAGCCTCCCTAAGGTTTCCTCTGCCTGAAATCCTCTCTGCATTCCTGGCTCATTCTCGAAATTGAGGTCAAAGCTCAGATGCCGCCTCCTTCCCTGACCACCCTACCTGAAGCAGCCGCACCTGCCTGCTCCTAGTCACGCCGTTCCTTCACCTGTTTCGTTTCCTCCACAGGGTTTACCACAATCTGAAAGTCTTATTCATGCAGGTGTCTACTTGTTTATCTCCCCACCACACCTACTAGGATGACAATATCACAAGGGCTGGGGTTTCATCTGTCTCCTCCTCCTCTGTATCTCCAGCACATGAAACATGCTTGGCACACTGTAGGTGCTTAAGTATTTGCTACTACATCACTTTGGGATTTTGCATAGGACACTCCCAATGCTTAGAATGTCAATCTTTGCTTCATTGTCCTTGGCAAACTCCTATTCATCCTTTGAAACCCCATCCATTTATCCCTTAACCAGGAAAGGCTTCTGTGCCTCATACAACCACCCATAAAGCTGGATTAGGGCTTTCTCTGGGGACACCCTTGCCCTGTGCCACACTTCCATTAGCGCACATATCCCCCATGAATTGTGCACACCAGCAGGGTCTAGAGTACGGCACACATTTTGTCTCAGGAGCTACGTATTGAATAAATAAATTAATTACTTTTTTTGAGACAAGGTCTTGCTCTGTCACCCAGGCTGGAGTGCAGTGGTGCAATCGTGGCTCACTGTACCTTGACCTCCCAGGTTCAAGCAATCCTCCCACCTCAGCCTCCCAAGCAGCTAGGACCACAGATGCAGGCCACTATGCCTGGCTAATTTTTAATTTTTTTTTTGGTAGGGATGGAATCTCCCTATGTTGCCCAGGCTGGTTTCAAACTCCTAGGCTCAAGGGATCCTCCTGCCTCTGCTTCCCAAAGTACTGGGACTATAGGTGTGAGACGCCACACTCAGCCTCATTATTTAATATGTAAGTAGCTATATCTCTCTGAGACCCAGCCCCATCTAATTTATAACCTCCCTCCTTCTCAAGAACATGCCTCAGCTCCCATTGCCAGGGAATCTGACCTTTCTCCTTGTCATAGGATTTTTTTTTTTTTTTGAGTCAGAATCTCAGTCAGTCACCCAGCCTGGAGTGCATGGCGCAATGGCTCGCTGCAACCTCTGCCTCCCGGGTTCAAGTGATTCTCCTGCCTCAGTCTCCCTAGTAGCTGGGACTACAAGCGCACGCCACCACACCCAGCTACTTTTGTAGAGATGGGGTTTCACCATGTTGGCTAAGCTGGTCTCGAACTCCTGATCTCAAGTGATGGCCTCCCAAAATGCTGGGTAACAGGTGTGAGGCACCACATCCGGCTGTCATAGGAATTTGTCAGCAAATCCTACAGACTAGAGGATGTGTGTTGGGTGGTGTGGGGGTGGGGATAACGGAGGAGATGGGGGGTGAGCTCTTCAAGCCCCAGGGGAGAATTCTGTTCCGTTCCTGGGACATCCCAGGTGAGAGGGAAGAAAGGCCAGCCCCCCAAGACAGCTATCCCAGACTGGGACAGAGGCAAACCCTGACCACAGAGCCCTGTCACTCACCCAAGAACAGGTGCCAATGACAGAATAGCCAGGCCGAGGGGGGAGAGAGGTGCTTCGGTGATGGATTTCCCTGGTGACTTGCCAAGACAGGGCTTTACTGCCTCCGCCCTGGACTGGCTGAGTCAGACTGTGCAGGGGTGGACACTTTGACTGGTATTTGGGAGGCATTTGCTGTGGGTTACAGAGAGGGAGGGGCCTCCTTTGCGGCCAGAGAAGGAGGAAAGAGGCCCTGGGCCCTGGGACTTGGGACTTGGGTGGAGGCTCGGGTTTCGGTCTCACCTGCTGCTCCAGACCATGGCCTGGAGGGCCGCCTGCGCCACCCCCAAAGCAATGAGATAGCCCCTCCTCCCTCAGACCCAGGAGTCCAGGCCCCCAGCCCCTCCTCCCTCAGACCCAAGAGTCCAGACCCCAGCCCCTCCTCCCTCAGACCCAAAGGCCTCGGACCCATACCAAATGCTTCTATGAGATAGTTTTCTCCCCTTGTTCATGAAGAAATGAGCCCAGGCCCAGTCAGATCTGCATCTGTGTCACAGCCCAGGGCCACTGTAACCTTAGGCTACTGACTTCCCTCTCTGAGCCTCTGTTTTCTCCTGTCAATGGGGCAAGGGGTCTGCTCCTTCCCTCAAACCCCAACTCAGGTACAGTCAAGCACAGAAAATACTTGTGGCATGAATGTGATGAGAACACAGAATTGCAGAAGCCAAAGAAAGAGAAGCGTAAGGGCCCTCCTTCCACCCCTACCTCCCCCACCCGCTGCTACACGCACCAGGACCACCTGCTGGGTAGCCAGGAGCTCACAGTCTAGCCCCGCTGGCCACCCCTGCAGCCCCCATCCTTCACTCAGGCAGTTGCAGGGCCCAGAACACCCCTATCTTCTAGGATTGACACTGGCTGTCAAACTCATCCTTCAAGGTGATTCCTGGCCTGCCCTCCTCCTCCAGGCAGCCTGTCCTCCTCCTCCAGGCAGCCTGTCCTGACCCTCAGCAGCCTCTCCTGGCCTTGGCAGAGCCCCTCGTGTCCTCCCTTGCAGCACGCATGGGAAGAAAGGCCATCGTCCTCGCCATTGCTAACACCAGCCTTGCGTTTCCTCTTTGCCAGGTACTGTATTGACAACTCTCTATAACCTGACTTTATCCTCCCAATAAGCTGGGTGTGGTGGGTGGCTCATGCCTGTCATCCCAGCACTTCGGGAGGATAAGGCAGGAGTATCACATGAGCCCAGGAGTTGGAGACCAGCCTGGGCAACATAAGGAGACTCTACTATATATATGTGTATATATATTTATATATAGTCTGAGATGGGAGGATCACCCCAGTAGGTCGAGACTGCAGTGAGCTGTGATTATGACACTGCATTCTAGCCTGGGCCACAGAACTAGACCTTGTCTCAATTAAGAAAAAAAATGGGGATAATAGGACCCATTCCATAGGATGTGGTGAGGATTATGCATACACACACACACACACACACACACACATTTATGATGTACTGAGAAGATATAAGCACACAATAAGTATCTCCAAAATTATCAAGTGGCAAAGCCAGGATTCAGACCCACACCTGCCCGAGGCTCTCTGCCATCAGACCACACTATATCTCTTTCTCTCTGTTCCTTCATCCCCATCAATCGAAGGCAAAAATGTGCCTTCTCTGATTTCCAGGCTCACTCAGCATAGACCGTGGAGGCAACATATCTTGAATGAAGCAACAAAGCAGTAATGCACATGAATGCACCAAATGCCAAAAGCTCGTTTACTCAACAAGTATCTCTCCAACACTTTCTATGTGCTAGACCCAATTCTGTGTGCTGCAGATTAAGTGGAGGACTGATCACACAAAAATCTTTGCCCTTGTGAAGCTTGCATTTTTTTTTTTTTTTTTTTGAGATGGAGTCTTGCTCTGTCACCCAGGCTGGAGTGCAGTGGAGCAATCTTGGCTCACTGCAATCTCCACCTCCCGGGTTCACGCCATTCTCCTGCCTCAGCCTCCGGAGTAGGTGGGACTACAGGCACCCACCACCAAGCCTGGTTAATTGTTTTGTATTTTTAGTAGAGACGGGGTTTCACCATGTTAGCCAGGATGGTCTCAATCTCCTGACCTCGTGATCCACACGCCTCGGCCTCCCAAAGTGCTGGGATTACAGGCGTGAGCCACCACACCCGGCCGCTTTTTTTTTTTTTAAGATGGAGTCTCGCTCTGTCACCCAGGCTGGAGTGCAGTGGCACGATCATCTCGGTTCACTGCAACCTCCACCTCCCAGGTTCAAGTGACTCTCTTGCCTTGGTCTCCCAAGAAGCTGGGATTACAGGTGTGCACCACCAACTCTGGCTAATTTTTTTTTTTTTAGTAGAAATGGGGTTTTATCATGTTGGTGACATGGTGTGATCTCGGCTGACTGCAACCTCCACCTCCGGGGTTCAAGCAATTTTCTTGTCTCAGCCTCCCAAGAAGCTGGGATTACAGGTGTACACCACCACCCCCGGCTAATTTTCATATTTTCAGTAGAGACGTGCTTTCACCATGTTGGCCAGGTTGGTCTCGAACTCCCAACCTCAAGTGATCAATCCGCCTCAGCCTCCCAAAGTGCTGGGATTACAGGCATGTGCCACCGTGCCCAGCCTGTGAAGCTTGCATTCTAACGGAGGAGACACAGACAAAATGAACCAGGAACACAGTGGGTAAGAAGGTGAAAAGTTCTCCACACAAAAATGAAGTAGGGAGAGAGGAAAGAGACTACAAAGAAGTTGGGTTGCCGGGGGCGGTGGCTCACACCCATAATCCCAGCACTTTGGGAGGCCGAGGCGGGCAGATCACGAGGTCAAGAGATCGAGACCATCCTGGCCAACATGGTGAAATGCTGTCTCTACTAAAAGTACAAAATTAGCCGGGCGTGGTGGCGCGCGCCTGTAGTCCCAGCTACTCAGGAGGCTGAGGCAGGAGAATCACTTGAACCTGGGGGGGCGGAGGTTGCGGTGAGCCAAGATTGCGCCACTGCACTCCAGCCTGGGCAACAAGAGTGAAACTCTGTCTCAAAAAAAACAAAAGAAGTCGAGTAAGGGATGCCGCCATTTGAAACAGGGTGGTCAGCCAGTCCTCTGAGAAGGTGACATTCAGGCAAAGATCAAAGGAGGCAAGAAAGTGAGGCATGAGGGTATCTGGTAGAAGAGCATTCCAGGCAGAGGAAACAGCAAGTGCAAAGGCCCTGAGGCAGGACCGGGTCTGGATGTTCCAAGAGCAGCAAGGAGGCCAGTGTGCTGACACACAGAAGGAAGAGATGAGATCAGAATCACGTCCCTTAAGGCCTTGCAAGATGTCAGCTTTTTTTTTTTCTTCTTTTTTGAGACAGAGTCTCGCTCTGTCGCCCAGGCTGGAGTGCAATGGCGCAATCTCGGCTCACTGCAAGCTCCGCCTTCCAGGTTCACGCCATTCTCCTGCCTCAGCCTCCCGAGTAGCTGGGACTACAGGTGCCCACCACCACGCCCGGCTAATTGTTTGTATTTTTAGTAGAGACGGGGTTTCACCGTGTTAGCCAGGATGGTCTCGATCTCCTGACCTCGTGTTCCACCCGCCTCGGCCTCCCAAAGTGCTGGGATTACAGGTGTGAGCCACTGCGCCCGGCCTGTTTTCTGTTTTTTGAGATGGAGCCTCGCTCTCTTGCCTAGGCTGGAGTGCAGTGGTGCAATTATCGGCTCGCCGCAACCTCTGCCTCCCGGGTTCAAGTGATTTTCCTGCCTCAGCCTCCTGAGTAGCTGGGATTACAGGCACCCGCCACCACACCTGGATAATTTTTGTGTTTTTAGTACAGATGGGGTTTCACCATGTTGGCTGGGCTGGTCTCGAACTCCTGTCCTCAGGTGATCTGCCTGCCTCGGCCTCCCAAAGTGCTGGGATTAGAGATGTGAGCCACTGTACCCATGCAAGTTTCTTAACCCTTCTCTTCCTCATTTTCTCATCTGTGAGACGAAGACAGCCTCCCACCCAGACACACTCCCCTCACGGGGCTCTGGGGAGAAATGATGTGGAAAGCTTTGCTAGTAACCTCTACAGCATGGAGGGAGTTCTGGAAAAGTGATTTCAGAAAGGTGTTTATGCCTGGAAAGCCTGTTCATTTTTGTGATGTCCTTGGAGCTGGGCCAGGCATTATCGAGCTAAATCTTAGCTTTTGTCAGAATAGGGGGGTCATTGAGGGAAATTTCCAAAGGAAGGTGGAACGGGATGGGTGGGGAGGTAAGGGCATGAGCAGAGGCAGTGATCGTGGGCAGGAGGTGTCCATAGAAGACGGGCTGCCACTGGCCCTGGAGACAGAAGGTCAGCCCCGGGTTCAAATCCCTCCTTAACCAAGTGCTGAAATGGACAAGTTGCTCAACCTCTCTGGCCTTCAGCTTCCTCATCTGTCAAGCAGGAATCAAACCTCGAACTTCCTCCCGCTGTTAGAATTTCAAGGGAGTTTTAAAGACAGAGCTTTCAACTCTGACCTGTGAACAAGTGTGACATCAAATGTACTGTTCGTTGCTATTATTCTGTTGCTACAAGGCAGACAGTTAGTTTCCCAGCTCCCCTGCAGTCCCCCCAGCCCCTCCTAGATCTGTCTGCCAGCCCCGCCCCGGGGTCACTCCAGCCAGGCTGTGCCAGGTGAATGCTCAGGTATGCGGAGGCGGAGGCGGAGGCAGGACGGCCCTGGGAGGGAGCAGGAGGAGGGGCCGGCAGCCTGGAAGGGAAAGGACAGCGGAGAGCAGGGCAGAGCCTGAGCAGGCAGGTAAGGAGATCCGGGTCAGGAGAGAAGGGGGCCGGGGCTTGACCAATGGGTCTGAGGGACGGGGGGACTGGGGTCTGGACTCCAGGGTCTCAGGGAGGACGGGCTGGGGGTCTGAACTCCCGGGTCTGAGGGAGGAGGGCCTGGGGTCCTGGACTCCTAGGTCTGAGGGAGGAGGGGCTGAGGGCCTGGACTCCTGGGTCTGAGGGAGGAGGAGATGGGGCCTGGACTCCTGGGTCTGAGGGAGGAGTGGACTGGGGTCTGGACTCCTGGGTCTGAGGGAGGAGGGGACTGGGGTCTGGACTCCTGGGTCTAGGGAAGAGGGACTGGGGCCTGGACTTCTGGGTCTGAGGGAGGAGGGGCTGGGGGCCTGGACTCCTGGGCCTGAGGGAGGAGGGGCTGGGGCCTGGATGCCTGCATTGAGGGAGGAGGCTGGGGTAGGAATTAGAGGCTCCTACTGGCCAGGCCTTCACATGTTTGCTGGCTCCCAGGGCACCTCCAGGTGGGCAGGAGCTACCACTCAGCACCATGAGCACCGCCACAGGGTAAGCGCCCCCGGACCCCAGGTCCCAGCCCCAGCACGCCTCCCGCCTCCCCTCGCCTCCTCACCCACACCCGCTTGCGGCAGCCCAGACTGTTTGCGGCGGCCCAGACTCTGGCCCAAGCCCCGACACTCAGGAGGAAGCCAGAGCCTCTCTCCTCCCTGCCCAGCCTGGGGTTAGGGGCCCCCACTGCAGAGCAGACAGGCCTGAGCTCCAGTTCGGCCCTCACACTCAGTGCTGATGTAACCCTGGTCAGAGGACATCACCTCCTGGAGCCTCAGCCCCTCCTCTGTGACACAGGGACAATGTTGAAAAATTGGAGGGATAGTGCATTACAGGACTTAGCTGACCACCTCACTGACAGCAGGTGCTCAACTCATAGGAGTCGCTATTGCGATTGTTATGTTGTTAGTAAATATTAACCCTTTGCTAGAAAATCAGGGCTGTTTATAATGAAGACTCAAGTCCCCCAGAGTAAGCAGGGAGAAAAACAATGAGAGATGAGTCAAAATACCTGCATGGTAGGTAGTGAGCTCTCTGGCCCAGAGGTAATCAAATTGTGGTGACATCAGACTGGCAGGAGCAGGATGAGGAACAGGAGTTTGGGAAAAAGGGTTTTTCAGTTCCCCTGACGCCACCTGATCGCTGAGCTTCTGTTATGTGCATGCAAGTGGGGATTCAAGAATTCTTAGGAAAGGTAATCTTAGGAAGAAATTGAGGACGGGAGGAGACAGAGAAGGATGTGGTTGGGAAGCACCTGGCCCATGGGAGTGGGAGGGGAAGCAGATAATTCCCTGTCTACTTCAGATACCACTAATGCTATTATAACCATTCCCATTTATTGAGCAACTTCTGTGTGCTAAGCCCTGGCAGCATCTTAAGAATGATAATAACAGTTATTGAGGCTTCAAAATACTTCACCTGCATCATCTGACTGAATTTGCCCAACAGCCCTACCAGATGGTTACTACGTTACAGAAAGAAAAACTGAGGCAGGAGAGATTAAATCCTCTTCTGAAGGTCTTATGGCAAGGAGGCAGTAGACAGAGGGTTTGAATCCCGGACTATGCCATGGTAGAGATCACACTCCCCTACCACCCAGCACCACCGCCTGACCTGACCTGTCTTTTTTTTTTTTTTTTTTTTTTTGAGATGGAGTCTCACTCTGCTGCCAGGCTGGAGTGCAGTGGCACGATCTGGACTCACTGCAACCTCCGCCTCCCAGGTTCAAGTGATTCTCCTGCCTCAGCCTCCCACGTAGCTGGCACTACAGGCGCCCACCACCACACCCAGCTAATTTTTGTATTTTTAGTAGAGACAGGGTTTCACCATGTTGGCCAAGATGGTCTCAATCTCTTGACTTTGTGATCCGCCCACCTCTGCCTCCCAAAGTGCTGGGATTACAGGCGTGAGCCACCGCGCCCAGCCTACCTGTCTTCTTAAAGTCCAGCTCTGGCTCTGAGCTCTCCTGCTCAATAATAATAATAATAATAATAATAATAATAATAATAATAACCCTTCCATCGCTCCCCATTACCTTCGTCATGAAGCCCTTGCTGCCCTGCTTGGCATTTCCACAGGATCTGCCCCCAGTCCCACAGTCTCTCTCATTCCTCTTTTCTTCACCAGCCCAGAAGCTGCCCCAAAGCCAAGCGCCAAGTCTATCTATGGTGAGCGGGGGGCAAGGGAGCCCCAGGCCCATAGAACTGGGTCTAAAGAAACAGGACCTGGCATCCAGGGTCTTGGAGGAGGAGGGGCTGGGGGTCTGGACTCCTGAGTCAGAGGGAAGAGGTGCTGGGGGTCTGGACTCCTGGGTCAGAGGGAAGAGGGGCTGGGGGGCTGGACTCCTAGGTTTGAGGGAGGAGGGGCTGGGGGCCTGGACTCCTGAGTCAGAGGGAAGAGGTGCTGGGGGCCTGGACTCCTGGGTCAGAGGGAAGAGGGGCTGGGGGGCTGGACTCCTGGGTCAGAGGGAAGAGGGGCTGGGGGGCTGGACTCCTGGGTCAGAGGGAAGAGGGGCTGGGGGGCTGGACTCCTGGGTCAGAGGGAAGAGGGGCTGGGGGGCTGGACTCCTGGGTCAGAGGGAAGAGGGGCTGGGGGGCTGGACTCCTGGGTCAGAGGGAAGAGGGGCTGGGGGTCTGGACTCCTGAGTCAGAGGGAAGAGGGGCTGGGGGGCTGGACTCCTGGGTCAGAGGGAAGAGGGGCTGGGGGCCTGGACTCCTGGGTCAGAGGGAAGAGGGGCTGGGGGCCTGGACTCCTGGGTCAGAGGGAAGAGGGGCTGGGGGTCTGGACTCCTGGGTCAGAGGGAGGAGGGGCTGGGGGGCTGGACTCCTGGGTCAGAGGGAAGAGGGGCTGGGGGCCTGGACTCCTGGGTTTGAGGGAGGAGGGGCTGGGGGCCTGGACTCCTGGGTCAGAGGGAAGAGGGGCTGGGGGGCTGGACTCCTAGGTTTGAGGGAGGAGGGGCTGGGGGCCTGGACTCCTGGGTCTGATGGAGGAGGGGCTGGGCCTGGACTCCCAGGCTCATTCTCTTTCTCCCCTGGCAGAGCAGAGGAAGCGTTACTCCACAGTTGTTATGGCTGATGTATCCCAGTACCCAGTCAATGTGAGTCTGGGGTCTGTGTTCCCCCAGGACATCTTCTGGGGCAAAGGTGGCCTCAGGAGATAGGGCTTTTGAAAGCAGCTAGGCCCCCAAGCAGGAAGCATGTGGAAAGTCAGTTTGCCCATCCATAAAATGGACCTCCGTTGCCTCACCTCAGTCATGGATATGAAGCCAGGGGCCTCGGGTCCACTTAATCTGCCAGCCTTTCCTCCAGGCCAGCTGTTGTGCTGGACAGTGGGACCACGGAGGCAAATCAAGACACAGCCCTGCATGAGGAAGGGGTAGACAAGGTCCAGAGGAATCCACAGAGGCGCCTGGTGCTCTAATGGAGGTGGCAGGGGGCATGGCAGGAGACCCGAGGAGGCATTTAGAAGGAGAGAGCTATAATCCAGACTCCTTCCCTGCCCGCAAGGAGCCTCCAGTCTGTGAGAAGCCAGACTCAGGTGCTAGTCACTCTGATGAAAGGGAAACAAAGGGCACTGGGAGGAGGAGCTGATTTGTGGAACAGGTGATCAAGGAAGGCTTCCTGGAGGAGGTGTGGTTAGTCTCAGGCTGAAAGTCTGATTATTCTGGGGGATTCTGAGCCCACCTGGCATCATCTTGGGCCTCACTGCTTTCTCCATGGTCCGTACCAGCACCTGGTGACGTTCTGCCTGGGTGAGGACGATGGCGTGCATACCGTGGAGGATGCCTCCAGGAAGTTGGCCGTCATGGATAGCCAGGGCCGAGTCTGGGCACAGGAGATGCTGCTGCGAGTGTCTCCCGACCATGTCACGCTGCTCGACCCGGCCTCCAAGGTGCCGGGGGGCACGTGGGTGGGAGGAGTGTCTGGGGCAGGGACTTCAGGGGGTCTGGGTGTGAATCTTGGCTCCTGCACGTCCTTCCTCTGGGAACTCTGGCGAGGGACCCCAGCCCCCTTCTTGAGCCTTAATAGCCTCATCTATTAAACAGGGCTGTTATCCCTAACCCCCTAACCGCCTGAGGTTGCCCTGACCTGCTGGCCCACACTCCCGTCGCCATTTAGTAGTACCATCATTTCGGGGCCTCAGTTTACCCCGCCATCCCACCCGGCAGGAGGAGCTGGAGTCGTACCCACTGGGCGCCATCGTGCGCTGTGACGCGGTGATGCCACCCGGCAGGAGCCGCTCGTTGCTGCTGCTCGTGTGCCAGGAACCCGAGCGCGCGCAGCCCGACGTGCACTTCTTCCAGGGCCTGCGCCTCGGGGTGAGCAGATGGGCTGGCTCTGGGGGTGGAGCTGGAACTGGGCGGAGCCTGGAGCCGGGGCGGAAATGGGTGGGGCCTCTAGGTGGGGCGGGGCCTGGGGCTAAGGCGGGATCAGAGCAAGGAAGGGCAGGGGACCTGGGAAGGAAGTTCTGGAAGGCAGTGGGGTTTGAGATTGGACCCAGGGTCAAGATAGAACATGAAGGTGGGATGAGGACATGAACAGAACATGGCCAAGAAGGATCTGGGGGAGCAGCCAGGACGAGGTGGGGGCGAGGAACCACCCGGACTGGGTCTCCATGGGCGGGGTCGTGGCTTAGGGCAGGGACAGGTGTAGGGCGAGGGGTGAGTTCGGGGCGTGGACGTGCGTGGGTTCACAGGTGTGAACGGTAGCCGCACGTGGGCTGGGACTGAGCTGAAAAATCGGCCAGGGGCGAGGCCCGGGTAGGAAGTGGGTGCGGCGTGGGGAGGCGTGGCCTGACGGTGTGATTGGCAGGCGGAGCTGATCCGAGAGGACATCCAGGGGGCTCTGCACAATTACCGCTCGGGCCGCGGGGAGCGCAGGGCGGCGGCGCTCAGGTGAGAGGGAAGAAGTTGGCAGGGTCTCTGGGAAGCCGGTTTCCCCTCCTTGTGCCTCAGTCTACAACACCAGCCTGGAACAGAACAAGAGTTTTGCATGGAGTCAAGCACACCCTAGTCGAGTCTTGTCTGTACCTCCCAGACGAGCTGACCCCTTCTCCAGAACTCTGCTTCTTTTCTCTGTTCCCTGTCCAGGCCCTCAGTTTCACTCTAGAGAGGTGCTATCCCTCCGTATATCGGATTTCTCCCTACCTCGTTGAACTTGTTCACTCCCTTTGAGCCTTTTGAGCCTGTGTGTCTCGTTCTGCGCCCTGGATTTCCCCCTCCCTGGACCCCTCAGTGGACCCAGTCTTGGTGTCCCCGTCGCCCTCCGCAGGGCCACGCAGGAGGAGTTGCAGCGCGACCGCTCGCCCGCCGCTGAGACCCCGCCCCTGCAGCGCCGCCCGTCAGTCCGCGCAGTGATCAGCACCGTAGAGCGGGGCGCGGGCCGCGGACGACCCCAGGCGAAGCCCATTCCCGAGGCAGAGGAGGCGCAGAGGCCTGAGCCGGTGGGGACCTCGAGCAACGCTGACTCGGCCTCCCCGGACCTGGGTCCCCGGGGTCCTGACCTGGCGGTTCTGCAGGCGGAGCGGGAAGTGGTGAGCCGCTAAGGAAGGGGTCTGGGGGCAGGGCCAGGCGACTGGAGGCGGGGCTAGGGCGTGGAAGGGCGGGGCCGGCTGCGGGACGGGCGTTCTCTGGTCAGACTTCTGCGTTATGGAAGAGGGGCTGGGTCGGGGGCGGGGCTTGGTTGTGGGGCGTGGCCAGGTGTTTGGGGCGTGGCCTGATCTGGGGAAGTGTATAGGTGCTCAGGTTCAGGGCTTCGACGGGGATGGTTTTGGAACTCGGGAGCCCTGAGCGTCCCCCTCCTCTGTCCCCTAGGACATCCTGAACCACGTGTTCGACGACGTAGAGAGCTTTGTATCGAGGCTGCAGAAGTCGGCGGAGGCGGCCAGGGTGCTGGAGCACCGGGAACGCGGCCGCAGGAGCCGGCGCCGGGCGGCTGGGGGTAAGGGGCACCCTGGCGTGGGATCTGAACCCCCTCCCGATCTCTTCCAAATGTCCCCGCTCTCCCCAGGCTCTCCCCTCCCGCCACTTGCCAGGGCTGACCTCACCGCCATCTTAACCGGGTGTCCACCTCTCTCTGCCTGCCTGGTGCTGGCCCCGCGTCCCCATCGCCGCGCCCGTCTGCTCCCCTCAGAGGGCTTGCTGACGCTGCGGGCCAAGCCGCCCTCGGAGGCCGAGTACACCGACGTGCTGCAGAAGATCAAGTACGCCTTCAGCCTGCTGGTGAGGACGCGCCCGCCCCTGGGCCGGGGCGCGGGCACGACGAACCTGTCCCGTCCCCGCACCCACGCCAACCACCTCCCTCCCCACGCCCCAGGCCCGGCTGCGCGGCAACATCGCCGACCCCTCCTCTCCGGAGCTGTTGCACTTCCTTTTCGGGCCTCTGCAGATGGTGAGACCCGCCCCAGGCCCTCGGGCCCCCCTGCAGCGGGAGGAATCGGGTTCGACTTGTAGAAGGTGTGGCGGCACAGCCTGCCCCTCCTGCTCCCCTGACAGATTGTGAACACGTCGGGGGGGCCGGAGTTCGCGAGCAGTGTGCGGCGGCCGCATCTGACATCGGATGCCGTGGCGCTGCTGCGGGACAACGTCACTCCACGTGAAAACGAGCTCTGGACCTCGCTGGGGGACTCGTGGACCCGCCCCGGGTGAGGGGCGGGGCTGGGAGGCAGGGGGCATGGTGATTGGAGGAGCATAAGGCGCTGGGAGGTGGGTGGCATGATGATTGGAAAATAGGACTAGGAGAGTAGGGAGGGGTTAGAGGCGTGGCTTAGTTGTGTTGGGGCGGGGCTTAGGACAGATGCCAAGATTCAATTGGAGGAAAGGCCAGGAATTAACGTGAAGGAAAGATTTAAGACCACCAGACCAATCGGATTGAAAGAAAAGGGGGGCTTAAAGGAATAGAGGGGCTAGGGGCTACGGGGCAGGGGCGGGGCTACGCGAAGGGGCGGGGCTTCTGGAAGGTTTGGTCTATAACTTTGGTGATGGGACAGAGTCTGTGCACTGCGGGCTGGCAGTTCCGCAGGGAAAGGGTCAGAACCTGAAACCGACCTTACGGAAAACCTGATTTGGAATCAGGTGAGATTTAGAGGCTGGATAAGGCAATTTTTTTCCAGAGAGAGAGATGGATGGGGTCTCAATATTTTGCCCAGGCTGGTCTGGAACTCCTGGCCTCAAGCGATCCTCCCATCTTGGCCTCCCAAAATGCTGGGATTACAGGCGTGAGCCACCGTGCCCGGTCTAGAAATATAAATTGCTGTTGAGTTGGGCTTAGAGCTACCGGCAGGACTTGGTGAAAAGTGGCGGGGCTAGAATCGTTGGAATACAGCGAGCTTTAGGGGAAAACTTAGTGAAGTTAATGCAGGAACGAAGTTGGGGGCTGTATCAGGATCCCTGAGCTCTTGGCCCTGTCCCTGGCCGCAGGCTGGAGCTGTCCCCGGAGGAGGGACCCCCATACAGACCCGAGTTCTTCAGCGGCTGGGAGCCGCCGGTCACTGACCCGCAGAGCCGCGCCTGGGAGGACCCAGTTGAGAAACAGCTACAGCACGAGCGGAGGCGCCGGCAGGTGACCCAAGCGACACAGCAGGGCCGAGGCTGGGAAGTCCGGGGGCGCGGCCGGTCCGCCTGGCCCCGCCTGACCCGACTGTCTTACTTCCTACAGCAAAGCGCCCCCCAGGTCGCTGTCAATGGGTGAGTGTCCGCCCCAGGGCAGGGCAAGGGGGTCAAGGAGGGGTGCGTCCCGGGGGCTCCCGATGCTGACTCCGCCCCCTTTTTTTCTGTGTTTTTCCTTCTGTCTTCCTGGCTCTTCTCAGGTGGGTGAGATGGTGATGGGGCGGGCCGGGGCTGGGAGAGAGGGAGGAGCAGGGTGGGAGGGGGCGGGACCCAGACTTCTGGGGCTAAGGGAGTTGGGAATGGAGACCCGGATTCCTGGGCCTAAGGGAGGAAGGGGGCTGGGAGTGGGTAAAGTCTGAGAGGTTGGATCCCTGGATCCCCAAAAGGCTGGAAGAAGCCAGTTTGTTTTCCCAGGGCCTGGGAAGCACCATGCCTGGGCTCCCTAGGAGGACAGAGCCCTGGATATTGGAGGGGAGAGGCTGGGGAATTGGACCTTTGGGTTTTGAAGAAGAGCCCAAGTCTGGTGCTTGGGATCCTGGAGACCCAGAGGAGCAGGCTTGGGACTTCAAGGGCTTGGGGGCAAGTTTCTGGGAAAGTTAGGAAGTGGTAGTATCTCTGGGCCCCCGAGAGGGGTAAAGGCTGGACGATTAAACTCTTGGTTTTCCAGAGGCTCTAATGCAATTGTCTAAGTCGCTGCTGGGTGTCGGACTGGGTTAAAAGGTTTGAGGGTTAAAAGGATAAGATTGAAGCTT